>NC_000012.12:31818199-31970894 GCF_000001405.40 Homo sapiens
TTTATAGTGAAAATTACATATATTTTTCATGTTCTCTTTTTGGTAACTGGTAAGTATCTTTTTTTTTTTTTTTTTTTTTTTTTTTTTTTTTTTTTTTTTTTTTTGAGACAGAGTCTCACTCCATCACCCAGGCTGGAGTGCAGTGGCGTGATCTTGGTGGTTCACTGCAACCTTCACCTCTTGGGCTCAAGCCATTCTCCTGCCTCAGCCTCCCGAATAGCTGGGATTACAGGTGCCCGCCACCACACCCAGCTAATTTTTGTATTTTTAGTAGAGGCGGGTTTTCACTATGTTGGCCAGGCTGGTCTCGAACTCCTGACCTCAAGTGATCCACCCACCTCAACCTCCCAAAGTGTTGGGATTACAAGTGTGAGCTGCTGTGCCTGTCCAGTAACTGGTAAGTATTGACAGAATCAGTTTACTTAAAGGAGAGTGAAACTGGAATAACAGGAGTTATATAGTTTTAAGAGATACTTTATCCAAACTGAAATAAACCATTCTTATCCCACAATAGTATATAACTATGGAACAACTAGAGTATTTGTGTCCACTATAGTAAATTTCTCTGGACTCTGAATAGTGAGAGCTAATCAGTGCAAAATCTTGCTCTCTGGCTGTCCTTTACTTATCTCTTCTGACCTTTGTTTTGATTGCAAACTTTCTTTGGACAGTATAAAAATCAGTATTTTAGGATTAGAACCCAATCAATATATTGAGTTCAGTTACATTCTAGTTCTTTCTGCCTGATATTACACTCCAATTGCCTTAATGGATCTTGAGTGCTTCCAGATATTCTTATTAAATATTTGTCATTTTTCTTTTGGCTTTGTTAATTGTGACTTATGCCATGCATAATTTTTTGCTTAGTAGTCAAATTTATCATTCTAAAACAATCTCTTCTGTGTTTTGCATTATACTTGGAAGGTCAAGGACCTTAGAGACATACTTCTGGCTATTGGATGTAGACTTTCTTTCTTTTTTTTTTTTTTTTTTTTTTGAGTCAGTGTTTTGCTCTGTCCTCAAGCCTCGAGCGCAGTGGTACAATCACAGCTCACTGCTGCCTCCACCTTCAGGGCTCAAGCAATCCTCCCACCTCAGTCTCCTGAGTAGCTGAGACTATGCCCAGCTAATTTTTTATTTTTTGTAGAGATGGGGTCTCACTATGTAACCCAGGCTTGTCTTAAACTCCTGGGCTCAAGGGATCCTTTTGCCTCAACCTCCCAAAGTGCTGGGATTACAGGTGTGAGCCACCACACCTGGCTGCAAATAGACTTTCAATAAAAAAAACTTTCATTCCAGGATCATCAGTGCAGGAGTAAGCTAGTTGACCTGGTAACAAAACACATGACCTCAATAATAAACAGGAACTCCTAAAGACAATAAGAGGTAAGATCTTAGGAAAAAAAAAAAAAGTTTTCCTCATTCTTGACCTGTGAAACAATTTCCTGGCTTATATTAGAAACAATCATTTTGCCAGTTCTTGTTTTGTTTCATTTTGGCAGGGTCTGGTGCTGGTGCTCTCTTCTATGTAATAAGGTGCCGGATACGTACCTACTTACAAGAAAGATTATTTGTGTCTTCAAAGCAGGTTTACTTTTGTTCATAAAGCAAAATAAAATAGCATACTAGTCATCTGCTACTTATTTTAATTTATGGTTGTTTGTGTTTACACAAGAAAGAGGGCCTTTTGTGAAAAGTAAATGATTTACATATCAGAGATAATTAAGATAACCCTATGCCTCTGATGAGCAACCTCACATTTTAACCATCTTGCTATAAATCTATATAGATCAACTGAAATTTATACACCTTAGTCACACCCAAATTTATTATCTTTAACTTCAAGATCGATTATCTCCTGTCACATCAAAGTAAAATTGTCTGTTACAGAAATATATATGTGAGCATGCAACTGCATAAAAATAAGGCAGCTTTTAGTGTATTTTGTGCATATTGCCATAAATTTGTACAGAGTGACATTCTAATGATATTTCTTTTATTTTCAGATTTATAAATATGTGATTACATATTGTGGAAAAATAATGCTATAGGCTCTGTATTTCAGTTATTATTATATCTTATTCATTCTTTACTGCATTTATGCCAGTAAAATTGATCTCACAGGCCTGCTTTTTGCTTATAATGCTAACTAATGAAAATCCAGAGCTTGGCTTATCAATGTGAGCCTTTGTAATTAACAGAAGTCTTGGAAATAAATAAAGGATATGCTCCTCTCCCCTATAGCACAGAGAGGAGGATGTCTTTCTGAGATATAACACATATTCAAAATATCTGATTTTGTAAAGTGTCAAATGGTCGATATTGACAAAAATATCAATCTTTTTTCTCTTTTGTGCAATATGGAGAGTGGTGTGAATCTTCGGTTTCTTATTGTAAGTCATTTTCTTTGAAAAAAGAGTTTTATAAAACTAAGACTTAGAAACTTACTTGCCCTGGCCTTGAAAATTACCTTTGGAAAAATGCTTGTGCTTTATGGGTCCTGAGAATATACTACTTTTGAGATTTGTCAGGACGCATTTGGCTGAGTAACAGGTTATTCTCATGGCTAAAAGCCTATTACAGCAAAGGATATTATACAGGATCAGCAGAAAAAAGTTATGCCTACAAGAAGACCCGAAAGATTAGGTGCAGACTTCTAGGTTCTCCCTCCATGCTGGTCACAGTAAGGTGCTTTTGGCACGACTACAAATTATACGAACATATATGAGATGTCTCTGCCCACGTAAGTCCACTTAGGTCTGAGGTCCCGGAGTTCTTACAGGAGTCTGGTTGCACAAGGCACATTCCTCCCACGTGACAATCTATGGTGCAGATCTTTACCCAGGAGGCAGGTGCTCATGGCACATCTTGATATTTGTGTTAGGCAGTGCTGGCAATTGAGCATGTCATGCCTCAGTGCCTCAGGAGCACAAAACAACTTCATTGGTGACTATGTTAACTCCAAGGACTTAGCCCCAAGTGGTTGGCTAAGGGTTGGTACCGTGACTCCAGGTACTCCTGGAAATAAGCTGAGTGAACTCCTTTCTCATAGATTATAATTCTGATTGGTAGCTTTACTTGATAATTTGTTGCCCTGATAGTAATGTTGTAATTGACATTTCTGCATGTGTAAATAGGATAAATTCTTGAAAGATTACTCTGCAAATCTGATCATTTGTTTCTCATCTCTTTTTTTTATATTTTATTTTATTTTATTTATTTATTTTTTTTTTGAGACAGATCTTGCTCTGTCACCCAGGATGGAGTGCAGTGGTTGTTCGCTGCAACCTCCACTTCCTGAGTTCAAGCGATTCTTGTGCCTCACCTTCCCAAGTAGCTGGGATTACAGGCACGGGCCACCATGCCCGGCTAATTTTTGTGTTTTTAGTAAAGATGAGAATTCACCATATTGGCCAGGGTGATCTCAGACTCCAGGCCTCAGGTGATCTGCCCAACTCTCCACCTCACAAAGTACTGGGATTACAGGTGTCAGCCACCACATCTGGACTGTTCCTCTTTTCTTTTGTGTATAATGGGGTTGGGTGGGGTGGTAGGGAGAAAAGTCTGACTTTGCTAGATTTCTTATTTTAACAAAGAATCTGTGAGTCTTTTCTAGGTAAAATTAACAACTAGCAAGGGGTTCTAGCAGAGTGTAATTTCAAAATACTCTATTATGCTTGTAAAATAAACTATTCACAATACATAGTGTGGTATAATAATAACAGATGTTTTTGTCAGCCTAAAAATAATGAGTTGAAGGTTCTAACGGTTGCCTTTATAGAAAATAACATCTTTGGCCGGGCGCGGTGGCTCACGCCTGTAATCCCAGCACTTTGGGAGGCCGAGGCAGGCGGATAGCCTAAAGTCAGGAGTTTGAGACCAGCCTGGCCAACATGGTGAAACCCTGTCTCTACTAAAAATACAAAAATTAGTTGGGCGTGGTGGCAGGTGCCTGTAATCCCAGCTACTGGGGAAGCTGAGGCAGGAGAATCGCTTGAACCCGGGAAGCGGAGGTTGCAGTGAGCCGAGATCACACCATTGCACTCTAGCCTGGGCAACAAGAGCAAAACTCCGTCTCAAAAAAAAAGCAAGTAACATCTTTGTCCAGGCGCGGTGGCTCACGCCTGTAACCCCAGCACTTTGGGAGGCCGAGGTGGGCAGATCATTTGAGGTCAGAAGTTTGAGACCAGCCTGACCAACATGGTGAAACCCTGTCTCTACTAAAAATACAAAAAAAATTAGCCTGGTGTGGTGGCACATGCCTGTAGTCCCAGCTACTTCGGATGCTGAGGCAGGAGAATCTCTTGAACCCGGGAGGTGGAGGTTGCAGTAAGTGGAGATCGTGCCACTGCATTCCAACCTGGGTGACACAGTGAGACTCTGTCTCAAATAAATAAATAAATAATAACATCTTCACTGAGATACAGGTATACTTCAGAGATAAGCCCATATATCAGGAATATCAGGTTTTGTGATATCAGGTTTTGTTCTAGACCACTGCCATAAAGTGAATATTGTGATAAAGCAAGTCACACAAATTTTTTGGTTTCCCAGTGCATGTAAAAGTTATGCTTACACTATACTGTAACCTACTAGGTATGCAATAACATTATGTCATAAATGTGCAACATAAATACACTAATTATAAAATACTTTATTGCTGAAAAAATGCTAACAATCATCTGAGCCTTAATTGAGTTGTCATCTTGTGTCATCAGCAAAAAGCTGGTGGAGAGTCTTGCCTCAACATGGATGACTTCTGACTGATCTGAGTGGTGGTTGCTGAAGGCTGGAGTGGATGTGGCAACTTCTTCAAATCAGACAACAAAAAAGTTTGCTGCATTGATGGACTCATTTTTAAAATATTTTATTTTATTTCAATAGTTCTTGGGGAACAGGTGGTTTTGCTTACATGGATACTTTCTTTAGTGGTGATTTCTGAGATTTTGGTGCAACTGTCACTTGAGCATTGTACACGGTGCCCGATCTATAGTCTTTTATCCCTCACTCCCCTCCCACCTTTTCCTGAGTCTCCAAAGTCCAAAGTCTATTGTATCATTCTTATGCTTTTGCATCCTCATAGCTTAGCTCCCATTTATAAGTGAGAACATACAATATTTCGTTTTCCATTCCTAAATTACTTCACTTAGAATAATGGCCTCCCGCTCCATCCAAGTTGCTGCAAATGCCATTATTTCGTTCCCTTTTATGGTTGAGTAGTATTCCATGGTGCATATATACCACATTTTCTTTATCCAGTCATTGATTGATGGGCACTTAGGTTGGTTCCATATCTTTGCGATTGTGAATTGTGCTGCTGTAACCATGCACATGCAGGTGTCTTTTTCATATAATGACTTCTTTTCCTTTGGGTAGATACCCAGTAGTGGGATTGCTAGATGGAATGGTAGTTCTATTTTTAGTTCTTTAAGTAATCTCTACACTGTTTTCTGTAGTGGTAAATGCGTTTGCATTTACTTTACACTCCCATCAGCAGTGTAGAAGTGTTCCCTTTTCACCACATCCATGCCAACATCTATTAGTTTTTGATTTTTTAATTATGGGCATTCTTGCAGGAGTAAGCTGGTATCTCATTGTGGTTTTAATTTGCATTTCCCTGATAATTAGTGATGTTGAGCATTTTTTCATATGTTTGTTGGCCATTTGTATATTTCTTTTGAGAATTGTCTGTTCATGTCTTTTTCCCTCTTTTGGATGGTGTTATTTGGTTTTTTCTTGCTGATTTATTTGAGTTACTTGTAGATTCTCAATACTAGTCCTTTGTTGGATGCATAGTTTGTGAATAATTTCTCCCACTCTGTGGGTTGTCTGTTTACTCTGTTAATTCTTTCTTTTGCTGTGCAGAGCTTTTTTGTTTAATTAGGTCCCATCTAATTATTTTTGTTTTTGTTGCATTTGCTTTTGGGTTCTTGGTCATGAACTCTTTGCCTAAACCAATGTCTACAAGAGTTTTTCTGATATTATCTTCTAGGGCATTTTTATGGTTTCGGGAGTTAGATTTAAGTCTGTGATCCATCTTAAGTTGATTTTTGTGTAAGATGAGAGATGAGGATCCAGTTTCATTCTTCTACATGTGGCTTGCCAATTATCCCAGCACCATTTGTTGAATAGGATGTCCATTCCCCACTTTATGTTTTTGTTTGCTTTGTCGAAGATCAAATAGCTGTAAGTATTTGGCTTTATGTCTGGGTTCTCTATTCTGTTCCACTGGTCCTATGTTCCTATCTTCTTCATACCAGTACCATGCTGTTTTGGTAACCACAGGCTTGGAGTATAGCTTGAAGTTGGGTAATGTGATGCCTCCAGATTTATTCCTTTTATGTAGTATTGCTTTGGCTATGCGGGCTCTTTTTCGGTTCCATATGAATTTTAGAATTTTTTTTCTAGTTCTTTCTTTTTTTGAGACGGAGTCTCGCTCTGTTACCCAGGCTGGAGTGCAGTGGCGCAATCTCGGCTCACTGCAAGCTCCGCCTCCCGGGTTCACGCCATTCTCCTGCCTCAGCCTCCCAAGTAGCTGGGACTACAGGCGCCCGCCACCACGCCCGGCTAATTTTTTGTATTTTTAGTAGAGGCGGGGTTTCACTGTGTTAGCCAGGATGGTCTCGATCTCCTGACCTCATGATCTGCCCACCTCTGCCTCCCAAAGTGCTGGGATTACAGGCGTGAGCCACCGCGCCCAGCTTTTTTTCTAGTTCTGTGAAGAATGATGATGGTATTTTGATGGAAATTGCATTGAATCTGCAGATTGCTTTTGGCAGTATGTTCATTTTCGCAATATTGATTCTACTGATCCATGAGCATGGGATATGTTTCCATTTGTTTGTGTCATCTATTATTTCTTTCAGCATGTTTTGTTTATGTTATTTCTTTCAGCATGTTATTTCTTTCAGCATATTCCTTGCAGAGGCCTTTCACCTGCTTTGGTAAGTATATTCTTAAGTATTTTGTGGCTTTTTTGGTTTTGTTTTGTTTTGTTTTGCTTTTGTTGTTTTGTTTTGTTTTTTCCAGCAATGTTGCAAAAGAGATTGAGTTCTTGATTTGATTCTCAGCTTGGTTGCTGTTGGTGTATAGCAGTGCTACGGATTTGCGTACAGTGATTTTGTATTCTGAAACTTTACTGAACAGGGACAGTTTGACTTCCACTTTATTGATTTGGATGCCCTTTGTTTCTTTTTCTTGTCTGATTGCTCTGGCTAGGACTTCCAGTACTATGTTGAATAGAAGTAATAAAAGTGGGCATCCTTGTCTTGTTCCAGTTCTCAGAGAGAATGCTTTCAACTTTTCCCCAATCAGTATAATGCTGGCTGTGGTGGACTCTTCCTTTCACAAAAGATTTCTCTAGGATGTTATGCTGTTTGATAGCATTTTACTCATAGTAGAACTTCTTTCAAAATTGTAATAAATCCTTTTAAAGGTGCTTTATCAACTAAATTTATGGAATATTCTAAATCCTTCATTATCATTTCAACAATATCCACAGCATCTTCACCAGGAATATATTCCCTCTCAAGAAACCACTTTCTTTGCTCATCCATAAAAAGCAACTCTTCATCCATTAAAGCTTTTTTTAGCATGTGATTGAAGCAATTCAGTCACATCTTTAGGCCCCACTTATAATTCCAGTTCTCTTGCTATTTCCACTACATCTTCAGTTACTTCTTCTACTGAACTCTTGAACTCTTCAAAGTCATCCATGAAGATTAAAATCAATTTCTTCCAAACTCCAGTTCATGTTCATATTTTGACCTACTTACATGAATCAAATGGCACCTAAAATGGTGAATCCTTTCCAAAAGGTTTTCAATCCACTTTGCCCAGATTCATCAGAGGAATCACTATCTGTAGCAGCCATCGTCTTACAAAATGTATCTCTTAGATAAGAAGGCTTGAAAGTCAGAATTGCCCCTTAATTCATGGGCTGCTAAGTGGATATGTTAGGATGCATGAAAACAACATTAACCTTCTTGTACATCTCCATCAGAGCTCTTGGGTGACCAGGAACATTGTCCATGAGTAGTAATATTTTGAAAGGAAGGTTTTTTTTTGGAGCAGTAGGTCTCAACAGTGGGATTAAAATATTCGGTCAATTGGCCAGGTGTGGTGGTTCATGCCTGTAATCCCAGCACTTAGGAGGCTGAGGCAGGTGGATTTGTTGAGCTCAGGAGTTCAAGACCAGCCTGGGCAACATGGCAAAACCCTGACTCTACCAAAAATATAAAAAAATTAGCCAGGCATGGTGGTATGCACCTGTAGTCCCAGCTACTCAGGTGGCTGAGGTGGGAGGCTCACTTGAGCCCAGTAGGTAGAGGTTGCAGTAAGCCAAGATCAGACCACTGCACTACAGCCTGAATGACAGAGGGAAACCCTGTCTCAAAAAATAATAATAATAATAGTAATTCAGTAAATCATGCTGTAAACAGATGTGCTGTCATTCAGACTTTTTTGTTACAATTATAGAGCAATAGAGTAGATTTAGCATAATTCTTTTTTTTTTTTTTTTCTGAGATGTAGTGTCACTCTACTGCCAAGGCTGGAGTGCAGTGCCACAATCTCAGCTCACTGCATCCTCTGCCTCCTGGGTTCAAGCAGTTCCCCTGCTTCAGCCTCCCTAGTAGCTAGGATTATGGGTGTGCACCACCACACCCGGCTAATTTTTATATTTTTAGCAGAGACAGGGTCTCACCATGTTGGCCAGGCTGGTCTCAAACTCCTGACCTCAAGTGATCTGCCTGCCACAGCCTTCCGAAGTGCTGAGATTATAGGCGTGAGCCACCGCGACTGGCCCAACTTAGCATAATTCTTACGAGCCCTAGGATTTTCAGAATGGTCAGTGAGCACTGGCTCCAACTTAAAGTCATTGGTTGCATTAGTCCCTAACAAGAGTCAGCCTGGGCCAGGCACAGTGGCTCACACCTGTAGATAGTGTGGAGTTATGCAGACGACTTTACAGATAAGTTACTCAACAACTAAAGAGATGAGAGGAGTTTCCTATAAAAACTTTTAAAAAATCAGGCCGGGCATGGTGCCTCACGCCTGTAATCCCAGCACTTTGGGAGGCCGAGGTGGGTGGATCACCTGAGGTCAGGAGTTTGAGACCAGCTTGACCAACAAGGTGAAACCCCATCTCTACTAAAAATACAAAAGTTAGCCGGGCATGGTGGCAGGCACCTGTAGTCCCAGCTACTCGGGAGGCTGGGACAGAAGAATTGCTTGAACCTGGGAGGTGGAGGTTGCAGTGAGCCAAGATCATGCCACTGCATTCCAGCCTGGGTGACAGAACAAGACTCCATCTCCAAAACAAACAAACAAACAAAAAACACACAAAAAAACTTCTGGCCGGGTGCGGTGGTTCATGCCTGTAATCCCAGCACTTTGGGAGGCCAAGGTGGGTGGATCACCTGAGGTCAGGAGTTTGAGGCCAGCCTGGCCAACAAAGTGAAACCCTATCTCTACTAAAAAATACAAAAATTAGCCAGGTGTGGTGGCAGGTGCCTGTAATCCCGCTACTTGGGAGGCTGAGGCAGGAGAATTGCTTGAATCCGGGAGGTGGAGGTTGCAGTGAGCCAAGATCGCACCATTGCACTCTAGCCTGGGGGACGAGAGCAAGACTTCATCTCAAAAAACAAACAAACAAACAAACAAACAAACAAACCAAAAACCTTTTAAATTAAACTGTAAAAACGGCAGCCCACTTGGGCTCCCCTCTCCACTATAGATAGCTTTCTTCTTTCATTTATTAAACTTTCACTCCAACCTCACGCTTTGCATCCACATTCCTTAATTTGCATGGTCATAAGACAAAGAACTCCTGGTGATACTACACAACAAGAGACTACTACATTATGGTATATTGATGAGACTGTAGCAGTATTTAGAGAGATCCAACATATATTTCAAGTCTTTTTTCATCTGAAGTCACACAGGATGTATTTTCTCTCTAGAAATGAACATATGTGAAATGTCTCTGCTCAGGGAAGCCCATTCAGGTTTCAGAGTCTAAGGCTTTTATCAGGGACCAATCACAAAGACATATCCTGTTATGCGATTAGCCATAGCAACCAAAACTCAGGATCACAACAATGAGACCAGGGGTACATCATCAATCTCAATGTTTGTGCAAAGCAAATTAGCAAGCCAGCATGGCATGGTACATTGCTCCAAGTGTACACAACAAAATCATCAATTAGTGACATAAAGAACATCCTAAGAACATTTCCGAGGGTTTGCCAAGGGTCAATCATGATTCCAGGCTCCCTTGGAGGTGTAAGGACTGAGCAACTAGACCTACTTGCTATGTAGATTTATCTCAGAAATGGCCTCTTAAAGAGAATTCTCATCATTCTAGTACCTCATTTGTCAACAGGATTTATACACTAAAATTCAATCTTCCTAAAGAATTGAGAACAAATTTAATAAGGAGTAAACTCAGATTGCAAAGATAATTGTAAAGAAGTTAATGGAGGAAGTCCTAGCCAGAGCAATCAGACAAGAGAAAGAAATAAAGGGTACCCAAATTGGAAAAGAGGGAGTCAGACTGTTACTATTCACTCATTATATGATTGTATACCTAGAAAACCCTAAAGACTCATCCAAAAAGCTCCTAGATCTGATAAATGAATTCAGTAAAGTTTCAGGCTACAAAATCCATGTACACAAATCAGTACCACAGCTATACACCAACAGCGACCAAACTGAGAATCAAATCAAGAACTCAATCCCTTTTACAACAGCTGCAAAAAATATATACATAAAATAAAATACTTAGGAATATACTTAACCAAGGAGGTGAAAGACCTCTGCAAGGAAAACTACACAACACTGCTGAAAGAAATCATAGGCTGGGTGTGGTGGCTCACACCTGTAATCCTAGCACTTTGGGAGGCCAAGGCAGATGGATCACCTGAGGTCAGGAGTTCAAGTCAAGCCTGGCCAACATCACGAAACCCCGTCTCTACTAAAAATACAAAAAGTAGCTGGGCATGGTGGCACATGCCAATAATCCCAGCTACTCGGGAGGCTGAGGTAGGAGAATTGCTTGAACCCGGGAGGTGGAGGTTGCAGTGAGCCAAGATTGTGCCACTGCAGTCCAGCCAGGGAGACAGAGTGAGACTCTGTCTCAAAAACAAACAAACAAACAAACAAACAAAAAAGAATCATAGATGACAGAAACAAATAGAAACACATCCTATGCTCATGGATCAGTAGAATCAATATTGCAAAAATGAACTTACTGCCAAAAGCAATCTACAGATTCAATGCAATTCCCATCAAAATACTGCCATCATTCTTCACAGAACTAGAAAAAAAGATCCTAAAATTCATATGGAACCAAAAAAGAGCCCGCATAGCCAAAGCAATACAACATAAAAAGAATAAATCTGGAGGCATCACATTACCCAACTTCAAGCTATGTGCCAAGCCTGTGGTTACCAAAACAGCATGGTACTGGTATGAAGATAGGAACATAGGACCAATGGAACAGAATAGAGAACCCAGACATAAAGCCAAATACTAACAGCCAATTGATCTTTGACAAAGCAAACAAAAACATAAAGTGGGGAAAGGACACCCTATTCAACCAATGGTGCTGATATAATTGGCAAGCCACATGTAGAAGAATGAAACTGGATCCTCATCTCTCTCCTTACACAAAAATCAACTCAAGATGGATTAAAGACTTAAATCTGGCTGGTGCGGTGGCTCACACCTGTAATCCCAGCACTTTGGGAGGCCGAGGCAGGGGGATAGCCTGAAGTCAGGAGTTTGAGACCAGCCTGGCCAATATGGTGAAACCCCGTCTCTACTAAAAATACAAAAATTAGTTGGGCGTGGTGGCAGGTGCCTGTAATCCCAGCTACTGGGGAAGCTGAGGCAGGAGAATCGCTTGAACCCGGGAGGCAGAGGTTGCAGTGAGCCAAGATCACGCCACTGCACTCCAGCCTTCGGACAGAGTGAGACTGTCAAAAACAAAAACAAAAACAAACAAAAAAAAACCACTTAAATCTAAGACCTGAAAGCACAAAAATGCTAGAAGAGGCCAGGCACAGTGGCTCATGCTTGTAATCCCAGCACTTTGGGAGGCTGAGGCGGGTGGATCACGAGGTCAAGATTTCAAGACTAGCCTGGCCAAGATGGTGCAATCCTGTCTCTGCTAAAAATACAAAAATTAGCCGGTCCCAGTGGCAGGTGTTTGTAATGCCAGCTACTCAGGAGGCTGAGGCAGGAGAATCACTTGAACTCAGGGGGCAGAGGTTGTAGTGAGCCGAGATCGTGCCACTGCACTCAAGCCTGGGCAACAGAGTTAGACTCTGTTTCAAAAAAAAAAAAAAAGTGCTAGAAGATACCATCAGGAAAACTCTTCTAGACATTGGTTTAGGCAAAGAGTTCATGACCAAGAACCCAAAAGCAAATGCAACAAAAACAAAAATAAATAGATGAAGCCTAATTAAACAAAAAAGCTCTGCACAGCAAAAGAAAGAATTAACAAAGTAAATAGACAACCCACAGAGTGGGAGAAAATATTCACAAACTATGCATCCCACAAAGGACTAGTATTGAGAATCTACAAGTAACTCAAATAAATCAGCAAGAAAAAACCAAATAACCCCATCCAAAAGAGGGAAAAAGACATGAATAGACAATTCTCAAAAGAAATATACAAATGGCCAACAAACATATGAAAAAATGCTCAACATCACTAATTATCAGGGAAATGCAAATTAAAACCACAATAAGATACCAGCTTATTCCTGCAAGAATGCCCATAATTAAAAATCAAAAACTAATAGATGCTGGCATGGATGTGGTGAAAAGGGAACACTTCTACACTGCTGACGGGAGTGTAAAGTAGTACAACCACTATGGAAAACAGTATGGCGATTCCTTAACGAATTAAAAGTAGAACTACCATTCCATCTAGCAATCCCACTACTGGGTATCTACCCAAAGGAAAAGAAGTCATTATATGAAAAAGACACCTGCATGTGCATGGTTACAGCAGCACAATTCACAATTGCAAAGATATGGAACCAACCTAAGTGCCCATCAACCAACGACTGGATAAAGAAAATGTGGTATATATGCACCTTGGAATACTACTCAACCATAAAAAGGAATGAAATAATGGCATTTGCAGCAACTGGATGGAGTGGGAGGCCCTAAGTGAAGTAACTTAGGAATGGAAAACCAAATATTGTGTGTTCTCACTTACAAATGGGAGCTAAGCTATGAAGAAGCAAAAGTACGAGAATGATAAAATGGACATTGGACTTTAGGGACTCAGGGGAAAAGGTGGGAGGGGACTGAGGGATGAAAGACTACACATTGGGCACAGTGTACACTGCTCAGGTGATAGTTGCACTGATATCTCAGAAATCACCATTAAAGAACTTATCCATGTAACCAAAAACCACCTGTTCCCCCAAAAGCTATTGAAATAAAAGAAAAAAAGAAGAAGTGGCTGGGCATGGTGGCTCATGCCTATAATCCTAGCACTTTGGGAGGCCAAGGCAGGCAGATCACTTAAGGCCAAGAGTCTGAGACCAGCCCAGCCAACATGGGGAAACCCGTCTCTACTAAAAAAAAAAAAAAAAATTAGCAGGGTATGGTGGCGCATGCCTGTAATCCCAGCTAGTTGGGAGGCTGAGGCACGAGAATCGCTTAATCCTGGGAGGCAGAGGTTGCAGTGAGCCAATAACTTGCTGCTGCACTCTTACCTGGGCAACAGAGTGAGATTCTGTCTCAAAAAAAAAAGAAGTGAATGGCATCAATCGTGAAAGGTATCACATAAATATGAAAGGTTACACAACTCTTTTAACCTATTTGCCTAGAAAAGAGTGGTAAGTAGGGCTTATTGAGTTGTTTTATTTTATTTTACTTTTTATTATTCATTTGTGTATTAATTTATTCTTTGGTGACAGAGTCTCATTCTGTTGCCAAGGCTGCAGTGCAGTGACATGATCTGGCCTCCTAGGATCAAACAATTCTTATGCCTCAGCTTCCCAAGTAGCTGGGATTACAGGCGTGTGCCACCACGCTCGGCTAATTCTTTTTGTATTTTTAATAGAGATAGGGTTTCACCATGTCGACCAAACTGGTCTGAAACCCCTGACGTCAAGTGATCCGCCCATCTCTGCCTCCCAAAGTGCTGGGATTATAGGCATCAGCCACCACGTTCAGCTAATTTTTACATTTTTAGTAGAGAGGGGGTTTCACCGTGTTGGTCAGGCTTGTCTCGAATTCCTGGCCTCAAGTGATCCGCTGGCCTCAGCCTCCCGAAGTGCTGGGATTACAGGCATAATTTACCGTGCTCAGCCATTGTCATTTATTTTGAATTTGGGAGAAGATATCACACCCATTTCTATGTTCTGGAGCAGGAAGTCTATCTTCTGGAGCAGCATTGCAGTCTAAATCACTCCTTAGTTCAGCTACATCCGAGTTCTTATCCCAGGACCAAGAAGAATAAGGAACACAGACACCACAGAGTAAGTAGAGTAGGATTTATTAAGCAAAAGGAAAGCTCTCAGCAAAGAGAGGTGCCCTGAAAGCAAGTTTTCAGAAATGGGGCTGAGTTCTGGGTCTTTTATGTGGAAGAGGAAGGAAGGAAGTCTTCTGTGGGTTCTGCCCAAAATGGGAGGGGTAAAGTTCCCTCCTAAGGGTGTTGCATCTGCACATGCCTGGGATTGGCCAGAGTGACTCCATCTTGGTTGTTACCCACGAGTGCCTAAGTGAAACCCACCAAGGGGCTAAAACCACAAAAATGTCATGTTAATGACACTATGATGAGCTGGGCCAAGGACACTTAGGTTGATTTATTCCGCCTGTGCCTAAGTTAGGACAGTCCCTTCTGAGCAACATCCTGGCATAAGGGGAAGTTCTTAACCACATTTCTTCCCATTAGCTGCAGAGGCGGTGTAGGTACGGTCCTGCTAGCGTTCTTGTGAACACTGCCCTTCTCCAGAGACCCTCCCTCTCTATCTGCCTAACCAGCCTCTAACTGCCTTCTCTCTCAGCAGGAAGTCTATCTTCTATCTTGGGATGACTTGAAAGATAACCCAATAGGAGCCCAGAACCTAGGCATCCAAGAATAAGAGAAACGAACATGTGTCAGATGGAGAAAACAGAAACTATGGACATCAAAAGGCTAAATTAGGGCCAGATATCAAGGTCACACTGGTGCTTTTAGGAAAGTGAAGTGTAAACAGCTGAGAGTAGAACTACAATGTAGATGAGGAAGCAAAAATGCTTAGTATAGGGAAAGCGCAGAGGCAGAAAGGAAAATAGAACCCACAAGAATTGTATTTTTTCTTCTTCCTTCTTCTTTCCTATTTCTCAATAAATACTTACAGAATACCTATAAGGCTTCATTAAGTATGTAAGCACTAAGAATATTTAATATGTGTCATGAAGAGTGATCTTCAAGTAAACATGACTCACATGCATCTGGTGATCTTCCTAACCTGTGTAAAACCCTTCCATTTGTTGAATTTGGCACCAAAGGCTCTTAAAGGCCATTTGTTGGGAATGTGTGGATAATAGGCTGACTTACATCTGTACTGGAAAAACTCTATCTTTGCCTTTGGAGAATTATGGACGTTTGGTTTTTTACCTTTAGCGGATAGAAGGGCAGCAAGATTTGTCATGTGCTGTTTAAAATCTGAATCTGGGCCAAGCGCAGTCACTCACACCTGTAATCGCAGCACTTTGGGAGGCCGAGGCAGGTAGATCACCTGCCAGGCCTCTGTCCAGGTCAGGAATTTGAGACCAGCCTGGCCAACATGGTGAAACCCTGTCTCCACTAAAAATACAAAACCTAGCCAGGCGTTGTGGTGCACGCTTGTAATCCTAGTTACTCGGGAGGCTGAGGCAGGAGAATCGCTTGAATCCAGGAGGCGAAGGTTGCAGTGAGCTGAGATGGCACCACTGCACTCCGGCCTGGGTGATAGAGTGAGACACCATCTCAAAAAAAATAAATAAATAAAATAAATAAAAATAAAAACTGAATCTGGGAAACCCCAGGGTCAATTTCTTTACTGATGGTTTTAACAAGTTAGATCACCTGACTTGATTATGTGGCCAAAGGGACAGAAAACCCAGCTGGAAACTTCTGCTTTACCGCTGTGCGTGCGCGCACATGTGTGTGTGTGTGTGTGTGTGTGTGTGTGTTTTCTCTTTTCCCCCTACACTACACAGAAGTAAGTTAGCCTCTCCTGAAGCCAAGTTTCCTTGCACTTGATAGGTCAATCTGGTGATGAAGTCGCATCCCACCATAACGACCCTGGGGAATTTGTGTTTATTGTTGTTTTAAGCTACTATGTTATTGGCTAATTTATTTTTTTTATTTTTATTTATTTATTTATTTATTTGAGACAGAGTCTCTCTCTGTCACCAAGCCAGAGTTTAGTGGTGCAATCTCAGCTCACTGCAATATCCACCTCCCGGGTTCAAACGATTCTCCTGCCTCAGCCTCCCAAGTAGTTGGGATTACAGGCGCATGCCCAGCTAATTTTTGTATTTTTAGTAGAGATAGAGTTTTATCATGTTGACCAGGATGGTCTTGATCTCCTGACCTCGTGATCTGCCCACCTCGGCCTCTCAAAGTGCTGGGATTACAGGTGGGAGCCACTGTGCCTGGCTGTTCTGGGCTAATTTTCTATGCAGCAATAGATAGATAGCTAATTAATCAAGGTATGAATCTGGGTATCTGGATGAAATAAGGCTGAATAGTACCTTTATTTTGTGTTTCAGAGAGTTTGTACAGCCCCTCACCCCTGCACCCTACACAACATAAAAGTTTTGGGATGGGTGAGAAGTCTGCCTTATTTTGTATGCTAGGAGAAGGGGGACTGGAATACTAGCAGACCATAGACACATTCCCAGGTAGGTCAATTTTACGGAGTGCAAATGGAAGCTGAGACTCAGAAATTGGTCCTTTCAAGCTGTTCCTGCCCATGTACATCATAGAAATTCTTCAAGTTCCCCCAAGGGTACACATCGCAATTTGACCACCATTGGAGAGGAGGTGCTATGCCATTTTGGGAAATGCTTTAAACAGGAAACAGTGCATGTGATTAAATAAACCCTATTCAGAAAGGTTCCAGTAGATTCAGTTTCTGCTTCTTAGGCTACACTCAACACGGAAAGCCATCAGAAACTAGGGTCAAGGCTCAGGCAGGTCTCCTTGGGACAATAGAACACATCATGCATTGGCCCTGCCTCCTGCCTTTGAAGTTTCTCTTCCCTGAGAGGTGGAAGACGGGTGTCAGATTGCATGGTTCGTTTTAGAGAACGTTATTTTTTCTAGAATAACTTCCTGGTAGTGTGTAGATTGTGTGACAGAGAACTTCTAATTGTTTCTCTCTTCCTCATACACATTTACCAAACACAGAACATCTTGTCCTTCACACATTTCACATGGCAATTCTGGATACATTTAGTCAACATAGGACATTTCAAGACATGATTCTACAATGGCTATTTCACCAGTGCATAATCACATTTTTTTAATCTTCTTTTTTTTTTTTTTTTTTTTTGAGACTGAGTCTCGCTCTGTTGCCCAGGCTGGAGTACAGTCACTCCATCTCTGCTCACTGCAACCTCTGCCTCCCAGATTCAAGTGATTCTCATGCCTCAGCCTCCTGAGTAGCTGGGATTACAGGCATGCACCACCATATCCAGCTAATTTTTGTATTTTTAGTAGAGAGAGGGTTTCACCATGTTGGCCAGGCTGGTCTCCAACTCCTGACCTCAGGTGATCTGCCCACCTCAGCCTCCGAAGGTGCTAATAGCTGACTTTTTATTTATTTTTTGAGATGGAATCTCACTCTGTCACCAGTGCAGTGGTGCAATCTTGGCTCACTGCAACCTCTGCCTCCCAGGTTCAAATGATTCTCCTGCCTCAGCCTCCCGAGTAGCTGGGACTACAGGCGCCCGCCAGCACGCCCAGCTAATTTTTTGTACTTTTAGTAGAGACGGGGTTTCACGATGTTGGCCAGGATGGTCTGGATCTCTTGACCTCGTGATCCGCCTGCCTTGGCCTCCCAAATTGCTGGGATTACAGGCGTGAGCCACTGCGCCTGGCCAATAGCTGACTCTTAATAAAGGACGAAGATAGCACTCCTTCTCAGCTGTCTGCAGTTCTTTATATATTGGTTAACTCTCATGGCTTCAATTACCACCTGTGCATCTATAACAAGATGCCAAAAGTGGCTGCTTCTGTTGAATCAAAATCAAGGACTAACGTCAAAAGCCGAGGCAAAGAAGAACCAAGAAAGATATGTTTTAAAGAGAGCCACCCATCACTGGAGCTAGATTCTACCCCTGGGTTTACTAACGAACAGCAGAATGAGCCTTATTCATGGCAGCTTTCACCCTATCCTCAACTCCCGTCTATAGAAAAGAGGCTGGGGAGAAGTGGAGCAGACAGAGGAAATGAGAGTTGCCCTTGGCCATGTGGTATTTCTTTCCTTCACAAAACTAAGTGAGGGTGGCCAGACGCGGTGGCTCACACCTGTAATCCCAGCTCTTTGAGAGACCAAGGTGGGCAGATCATTTCAGGCCAGGAGTTCAAGACCAGCCTGGCCAAGATGATGAAACCCCGTCTCTACTAAAAATACAAAAAAATTAGCTGGGCATAGTGGCACATACCTGTAATCTCAGCTACTCGGGAGGCTGAGGCAGAATTGCTTGAACCCAGGAGACGGAGCTTGCAGTGAGTCGAGATCTCACCACTGCAGTCCATCCAGCCTGGACTACACAGCAAGACTCCGTCTCAAAGGAAAAAAAAAAACCAAAAAACAAAAAACTAAGTGAGGGAGAAGCCTCCAGTAGAAACGCTGAGAGAGACTGGGGGTGCCTGCAACAAGTAGACAGGCATTTCTTTTTTTTTTTTGGAGACAGAGTCTCACTCTGTTGTCCAGGCTGGAATGCAGTGGCGCGACCTTGGCTCACTGCAAGCTCCACCTCCCGGGTTCACGCCATTCTCCTGCCTCAGCCTCCCGAGTAGCTGGGACTACAGGCACCCGCCACCACGCCTGGCTAATTTTTTTTTTTTTTTTTGTATTTTTAGTAGAGACGGGGTTTCACTGTGTTAGCCAGGATGGTCTCAATCTCCTGACCTTGTGGTCCACCCGCCTTGGCCTCCCAAAGTGCTGGGATTACAGGCGTGAGCCACCACGCCTGGCTGCATTTCTTTTCTTTTTTTTTTTTTTTTGAGACAGAGTCTTGCTCTTTCACACAGGCTGGAGTGCAGGTGCAGTGGCACGATCTCGGTTCACAGCAACCTGCAGCCTCCGCCTCCCGCGTTCAAGTGATTCTTCTGCCTCTGCCTCAGCCTCCTGAGTGGCTGGGATTACAAGCGCCCGCCACCACGCCCAGCTAATTTTTTGTATTTTTAGTACAGACGGGGTTTCATCATGTTGGCCAGGCTGGTCTCGAACTCCTGAGCTCAAGTGATCCACCCCCCACCCCTCAGCCTCCCAAAGTGCTGGGATTACAGGCGTGAGCTGCCACGCCCGGCCAGACAGGCATTTCTTGCCTCAACTGAACCTTGGCTTCGAGATGGCAGCACAAGAGAGAGGGCAACCTTGGAGTAGTTGCTGCTGCTTGCTGGTTGGGTGGCAGGGATACACATGTTTTCTTGGACCTTAGCTGGCCCCAAGACATAGTTGGTCAGGTAAGGGAACTCCAGCAGTAAGAGTCAGAGGCTAGGCAGGGTGTGGGTGGGGTGGAATGGGAGTCAAGAAAATGAAAGCCAGATTTCACCTCAGTGTGGTAGAGGAAATAATGAAGTTGACTCTATCCCCGCCTCCTGACCGCCACCTCTTTTGGTTCCTCAAGCTGTAGCTCTAAGCAAGGAATGAAGGATAGTGTCTTAGTCCATTCAGGCTGCTATAACAAAACATCATAAACAGGGTAGCTTGTAAACAACAGAAATTTGTTCCTCACAATTCTCCAGAAAAGTTGAAGATCAAGGCACCAGCAGATTCTGTCTGGTGAGGGCCCACTCCCTGGTCCACGAACCCTCATGTGGCAGAAAAGGCCAGGGTCTCTCTGAGGCCTCTTTCATAAGGGCACAAATCCCATCCATGAGTGCCCCACCATCATAACCTAATCACCTTCCAAAGCTCTCACCTCCTAACACCATCACCCTGGCAGTTAGGATTTCAACATACGAATTTTGGAGGGACGTCAACATTCAGGTCATAGCAGATAGGGAAGTTTTGAATTAGGTATGTGATTGTGGTTTTCAGCTGGACTGAACTCAGTTTTCACACTGAAAGTGAGGAATCTAAATGGAAAATCATGATATCTGTCCAGCATGTTGTTAAAGTATAGGAAAAGGGGATTTAGTATAATATGGTTGAAAGCACTGATTTGAGGAAAAATAATTTTTTCATATATACTCCCCACTGAGTTGAGACTCATAAAATGGTTACTGGTTGAGGACACCAACGTTTTCTAGCTACAGATTCTCAGTGGCCTCCTGGGCATCTCCATTGGGATACCAGGTCAGGCTCTGTACAGAAGAGCAGAGATAGCAGTCATTGGTGTGCGCCCAGGAGCCAGGCTGACTGGGTGATTTCTCAGCTCTACACTTAGCTAGCTCTAGAACCCTTGGCAGGTTGTTTAACTTCTTTTTGCTTCGGTTTTTTCATTTGTGAAATTAGGATAATAATAGTTCTTTATGATATCATTGTAAGGGATAAATGATTTAAGTTGTTGGAGCATAGCAAATGATGGACCAGGGATTTAAACCCAGTTTTATGTGACTCTAGAGTCTGTGCTGTCAATCACTGGATATACCCATTGTTAAAACTGATTATAGGCCAGGTGGAGTGGCTCATGTCTGTAATCCCAGCATGTTGGGAGACTGATGCAGAAGGATTGTTTGAGCCCAGGAGTTCAAGACCAGCCTGGATAACATAGTGGGACTTGGTCTCCACAAAAAGAAAAGAAAAAAAAGTTAGCCAGGCATGGTGGCATGCACCTGTAGTTCTAGCTAGCTACCTGGGAGGCTGAGGTGGGAGGATCACTTGAGCCCAGGAGGTCAATGCTGCAGTGAGCTGTGATTGTTCCACTGCACTCCAGCCTGGGTAACAGAGCAAGACCCTGTCTCAAAAAATAAATAAAATAGATTATATGTTAAAAGCATATTTTGTGTGTGTATATACATATATACACATATATATAATATGAAAATATATTATTAAAATTATTTCCAATTAATTTTATGTTTCTTTTTCCTTATTTATTGTATTTTATTATTATTTTTGAGACAAGGTCCCAATCTGTCACCCAGGATGGAGTGCAGTGGCACGATCATGGCTCACTGCAGCCTTGACCTCCTGGGCTGAGGTGATCCTCCCACCTTAGCCTCCCAAGTAGCTGGGACTACAGGTGCACACCATCACACCTGGCTAATTTTTTTTCTTTCATTTTCTTTGCCTTTGTTTGTTTGTTTGTTTTGTAGAGGTCCCAGTATATTGCCTAGGCTCATCTTGAAGCCCTGGACTCAAGCGATCTTTCCACCACAGCCTCCCAAAGTACTGGGATTAGAAGCATGAGCCACTGTGCCTAGCCTTTTCACTTTTTTTTTTTAAAGAAAATGTGGCTATTAGAAAATTCAAAATTACAAATGTAGTTCACATTCTATTTCTGCTGGACAGTGCAGCTTTGGGCTTTGTCATCCCTTGAAGTGTTCTAAAATGGTAAACATCTCACCTCCAAATTTTTTTTTTTTTTTTTTAGATGGAGTCTCACCCTGTTGTCCAGGCTGGAGTGCAATGGCATGATCTCGGCTCACTGCAACCTCTGCCTCCAGGGTTCAAACGATTTTCCTGCCTCAGCCTCCCAAGTAGCTGTGATTACAGGTGCCCACCACACCCAGCTAATTTTTTTGTGTTTTTTGTAGAGGTGGGGGTTTCACCATGTTGTCCAGGCTGGTCTCGAACTCCTGACCTTGTGATCTGCCCGTCTCGGCCTCCCAAAGTGTCAGGATTACAGGCATGGGCCATCGCACCCGGCCAAACTTCCAAAATCTTTTTTTTTTTTTTTGAGATTGCAGTGGCGCAATCTCGGCTCACTGCAAGCTCCGCCTCCCGGGTTCACGCCATTCTCCTGCCTCAGCCTCCCGAGTAGCTGGGACTACAGGCGGGCACCATAATCATGCCACTGCACTCCAGCCTGGGCAACAGAGTAAGACCCTGTCTAAAAAAAAAAAAAGAAAAAAGAATGAAAGAAAGAAAGAAAGAGAGAGAGAGAGAAAGAGAGAGAGAGAGAGAGAGAGAGAGAAAGAAAGAAAGAAAGAAAGAAAGAAAGAAAGAAAGAAAGAAAGAAAGAAAGAAAGAAAGAAAGAAAGAAAGAAAGAAAGAAAATAAACTGGCCAGGCTCATGCCTGTAATCCCAGCACTTTGGGAGGCCAAGGTAGGAAGATTACATAACACTAGGAGTTCAAGATCAGCCTGGGCAATATAGCAAGACCCGTTCTTTCCACAGAGGTGAAAAATTGGCCAGGCATGATAGTGCATGCTGTAGTCTTAACTGCTTGGGAGGCGGAGGCAGGAGGAGTGTTTGAGCCCAGGAGTTTGAGGCTGCTGTGAACTATGATTGCACCACCAATCTGGAATGTACACTAGAATCTTTATAGTGTATATGTATTCCTCAACAATACATCGAGCTCCTGACCTTGTGATCTGCCTGCCTTGGCCTCCCAAAGTGCTGGTGCTGGGATTACAGTCGTGAGCCACTGCGCCCCATGTGAACTTTTAAAAATACATTCCTGAGTCCTATCTATGAATTGCCTTTTGCCCATTTTTCTGTGTATTTATTTTTCCATTTTTATTGAAGTTAAATAAAATATATTATGGGTAATAATCCTTCCAGTGATATGATATGCAGATATCTTCGTTTTGTTGGTCATTTCCTTTGGCATCATCTTTCATTTACTTTATGGTTATCTTTTGATAGATGCTCTTCATTTATTGCAGTTCAATTTCTCAATCCTTTCCTTTGTCCTGTGTTTTTCACACATTGTTTAATAAATATTTTCCCCCTCTAGTGTCTTAAAATATTTTCCTATTTTGGCTTCTAAAAGTTGTTATAATTTTGCCTTTTACATTTAGGGCTTTAATTCTCTGAAACTGTGTTTTTGTTGCTGTTGTTTCAGAACCATTTTCCCAGGAGCCATCTTTTTTTCTCCTCTGATCTGTGGTGGTGTTCCACCCCAGTCATGTTTCTGTGTATGCATAGGACTTCATTCCTGGTTTTCCTTTCTGTTTCATAGACCTACTTTTTAAAAAAACCCTATAGCTAATACTAAATTTTTTTTTTTTTTTTTTTTTTTTTTTGAGACAGAGTCTCGCAGTGTCGCCCAGGCTGGAGTGCAGTGGCGCAATCTCGGCTCACTGCAACCTCCGCCTCCCTGCAACCTCCGCCTCCCTGCAACCTCCGCCTCCCAGGTTCAAGCAATTCCCCCGCCTCAGCCTCCCGAGTAGCTGGGACTACAGGTGCATGCCACTACGCCCAGCTAATTTTTGTATTTTTAGTAGAGACAGGGTTTCACAGTGTTGGCTAGGATGGTCTCCATCTCTTGACCTCGTGATCCGCCCACCTCGGCCTCCCAAAGTGCTGGGATTACAGGCGTGAGCCACCAGCACCCGGCCTACTAAATCTTACAAACAAGAGTGTTTGACTGTGCTTGGCCCTTTATTCCTGTATAACACTTTTTATTGTTTATTTAGGTGGTTTTATAACTTTGACAATCAGTAGTTTGTTCTCATTCACATTGACTGTAGATTTTTTAAAGTGGTGACAGGTACATGAGTTACCAAGGTAGAGAGCTTGTTTGGTGAATCTTCATCCTCATTACATTTCTGGACAATGCATATGGAGACGGTATGGGACACTCCTTATTCCTTTGGCCCAGACAGCTTCCTTGAGCCTGCTGTCCATCCACACATTTGGAGTCCCCATCACCCTATGGCAAATTTCTGAATATCTTAGACAGCTTGAGGGGCATGCTTCTTGGAGCTCACTGCATGGATGCAATTATGAATATTGATGGCAGTATTCTTAGGTCACCACCTGTGGATGGCAAAATGGCCCTTCTTCACCTCTCCTTTCTTTGCCAGCGCCATTCTGCCAGGTTCAAGTTGAAAAGAAAGACTGTGAGCAATTCCACAATACTTTCAGAATCAGCTGGAGATATTGATCCTTCTTATCCAAAAATAGGTTATGTCTCTCAACTTATTTAGGTTTTCTTTAATGCAGCTCAATAAGATTTTATAATTTTATCCAAAGAAGGATTTATATGCCTTTCGTTAGGTTTATTCCTAAGCACTTGAAATTTCTTGTAAAATATGTCTGTTCTGTGTGTATTTTCCCCCAATATTTTATTATTATAAACTTTCAAATGCAAGGAAAATTTTAAAAGTACAATGGAAGCCAGGAGTAGTGGTACACTCTTGTAATCCCAGAATTTTGGGGGGCTGAGGTGAGAGGATGACTTGAGCCCAGGAGTTGAAGCTTGTAATGAGCTATGATTGTGCCACTGCACTCCAGCCTGGGCGATGGAGCGAGACCCTGTCTTAAAAAAATAAATAAATGAAATAATAATACAATGAATTAGCTACATGTCCTTCACTTAGACTCGATCACTGTTAATTTCATCATATTTGTCTTAACATCTGTCTTTGTGTACGTAATTTTGGGAGGCTCATTTTAACAAACTGCAAGTGGTAGAGTCATCATTTGTAACTAGAAAATCTAATTTTAGGGACACAACAAGATGTTCCAGGCATACCTTATATTTTCTTTACTTTTTCTTTTCTTTTCTTTTTTTTTTTTTTTTTTTTGAGATGGTGTCTTGCTCTGTTGCCCAGGCTGGAGTGCAGTGGCACCATCTCGGCTCACTGGAACCTCCGCCTCCTGGGTTGAAGCGATTCTTCTGCCTCAGCCTCCAGAGTGGCTGGGATTACAGGCACATGTCACCATGCCGAGCTAATTTTTTATATTTTTAGTAGAGACAAGGTTTCACCATTTTAGCCAGGATGGTCTCAATCTCCTTACCTCGTGATCCACCCACCTCGACCTCCCAAAGTGTTGGTATTACAGGCATGAGCCACTGTGCCCAGCCTGTATTTTCTAACTAAGCATTCACAATTGCCCATTTCTTACCCTCTGCTTTGTCTTAACCAAAGCCTTCTCTTTTTCCTATGGGCCCCTGAACTCTGCTTGCCTCCAGATCTGAGCAAAAAGAAGTAGAACTTGCCCTTTATCAGCTTCTCCTGGGAGTCGGCTAATCACATCGAGCCCACTTTCCTGTCAGATCTACTGGTCATTTCTTCTTACTTATCTAGCTTCCCCTTAAAAGAGGCTCTTATCTCTGCTTCCTCTCCCCTACCCTAAAAGGAAACTTTTTTCTGTTTGAGTTTGAGATGCTTATACATTTCTGAGTTCAGAGTGCTCTCCCTATTTGATATGGTTAGGCTTTGTGTCCCCACCCAAATATCATCTTGAATTGTCATCCCCGTAATCCCCATGTGTCAATGGAGAGACCAGGTGGAGGTAATTGGATCATGGGGGTGGTTCCCCCATGCTGTTCTCATGATAATGAGTGAGTTCTCACGAGATCTCCCTTTGCTCAGCACTTCTCCTTCCTGCCTCCCTGTGAAGAGATGTCTTCTGCCATGAGTGTAAGTTTCCTGAGGCCTGCCCAGCCATGCAGAAGTGTGAGTCAATTAAACCTCTTTTCTTTATAAATTACCCAGTCTAGGGCAGTTCTTCATAGCAGTATGAGAACCGACTAATACACTATTACAATAGTCTTTCTCTCTAGTTAAATTATTTCCCTAGGCTGGTTGCAGTGGCTCACGCCTCTAATCCCAACACTTTGGGAGGCCAAGGCGGGTGGATCATCTGAGGCCAAGGAGTTCAAGATCAGCTTGGGCAATATGGTGAAACCCCATCTCTACCAAAAATAAAAATTAGCCAGTCTCATAACCCAGTCTCAAAAAAATAAATAAAACTTTAAAAATAGGCCGGGTGCAATGACTCACGCCTATAATCCCAGCACTTTGGGAGGTAAAGCAGGTGGCTCATCTGAGATCAGGAGTTTGAGACCAGCCTGGCCAACATGGTGAAACCCCTTCTCTACTGAAAATACAAAAATTAGCCAGGCTTGGTGGCACGCACCTGTAGTCCCAGTTACTTGGGAGGCTGAGGCAGCAGCAGAATCGCTTGAACCTAGGAGGCGGAGGTTATAGTGAGCTGAGATCATGCCACTACACTCCAGCCTGGGTGACAGAGCAAGACTCTATCTCAAATAATAATAATAATAATAATAATAATAATAATAATAATAATAATAATAAAATAAAATAATTTTAAAAAATGATCTCCTTAAGTCCAGATTTATTTTTATTGGACATTTCTGTGCCCCAGACCTGGAATGGGCCATTTTTCCAATGAAAAGGAAATTATTCCTTTTAGTGTGTACTGGTTTATTTTTGGTGCCAGCTGCTTCCTCTTGTTGTTTTCTTCCCCCAGCACCAATCTGGCACTGGAGTCATACCTCCCTGGAGGTTTCAAAAGCCTTTTTTTTTTTTCTTGTAAGTGTTTGCCCCTTGTATTCTTTGAATAAAAACATTATGTGGGCAGGGACCATGCTTTATTTTTTAATTGAGGACGTATATTTTATGTCTTATGTCACCGAGTGGAAATACAGCAAACTACCTGGCCTCTCAGATTTCTGCCTTCAGTTCCATAAATCCTCTTAAACTAAGAGAGTCACCCGGTCACTTTCGGATGGGACAGATACCTCAGTTTATTCACATTTTTCCTGACTTTTCTTAATTCCTTCTTGTGAAGTCAGAAACTGAAAAGTCTGAGATTTTCTGCTACTTGCAAGCTAACAAGTTACCGTGCCACAATTTTTTTTTTTTTTTTTTAGACAGAGTCTCACTCTGTCGCCCAGGCTGGAGTGCAATGCAGTGATCTCGGCTCACTGCAACCTCCACCTCCTGGGTTCAAGGAATTCTCCTGCCTCAGCCTCCAGAGAAGCTGGGATTACAGGCGTCTGCCACCATGCCCGACTAATTTTCTGTATTTTTAGTAGAGATGAGGTTTCACCATGCTGGCCAGGCTGGTCTCGAACTCTTGACCTCAGGTGATCCAGCCACCTCGGCCTTCCAAAGTGCTGGAATTACAGACATGAGCCACCACGCCTGGCCCACAAATTTTTATATACATCGTGTTAGAAAACAGGAGATCTCTGAGTCAGAGACAAAGACGTGTATTCACAGTAAAAGCAGCAGCCAAGGTGACTTCAGAGCTTGGGTTCCCTGAGCCCCAATTCCCATAAGGCAACATAGGGAGGGCCAGATGGTACTTACAGGTGCTTTCAGGTGCAATACAGGAGGCGAAGTCTGAGTTTAGGAGGCTCACATTTTGCATAGGGCTGCAGGAAAATCTGCCCATCCTCCCTTCCAGAGAGAAACATTCTACACTGGAATGTGAGCAAATATTTCTGGGGAAAGATGTCTGTAAATCTCTCGGTGAAAGTTACCGTTTTGATCTTTATTTATCTAGGAATGTAAATACATTTGCTTCAGGGGAAGTCCTTGTCTTTATCTCTCCAGGGCTGCCTGCTTGCACTAGGCATTCCTAGAAAGATAATCCTGGCACACAGGAGCGAAACATGTAGGAGTGCTGAAGATTCACAGAC
This sequence comes from Homo sapiens, assembly GCF_000001405.40. Taxonomy (NCBI): domain Eukaryota; kingdom Metazoa; phylum Chordata; class Mammalia; order Primates; family Hominidae; genus Homo; species Homo sapiens. The sequence continues at coordinate 31,845,942 of NC_000012.12, forward strand.
AGTCGTCTCAATGTCTCTGAAGTTTTTTTTCCCTTAAACTTCTCCTTTTGGACATTCCCCTTCATTTTCCTTTTAAAAATCTCATCCTTTCCAACACTTTCAGTTGTAAGAATTTCCAAATCAAGCACTCAATATCAAAACAATGTGTGTGACAAACTTAAAGTGTTGAATCTGACTATGTCAGCAGAAAGCATAATTATCGATGATGTATGGGACAGCAATCTTGAATTAAAGAAGAAGGTGGGAAAGCCCCAAATCTCTCATAAATTATGATGATGATGATGATGATGATGATGATGATTTAGCACACCTCTGCTGGCAGGAAACAATTTATTTTAAAGATGACCTGTTACATTAGGTATTTGTATTGAATGTTACCTTATGTGTTGAAAAGGGAGTGAAGAGAGAATATATATGTAATTTCTTGTGTATGGATAACATCGATGTAAGTACAACCAAAATACCAATGTAAGATCTGTACACCAACCTAATAACATGAGCATGATTGATAGGTTGATCAGTAGTTTGGCTTATTGTTCAATGAATATCCACTCCCCTCTCCCTTCTACTGTGGGAAGATTATACTTCTTGGGCCTGGCCCTGTGACTTGCTCTGGCAAATGTACTACTAATGGAAAGACAGGAGAGAGACCTTGAATATGTTTGACTTGGCTCTTGGTTTGACATAGCTCTCCTAGTCCTGCCATTGTTCATAAGAACAACATGTCCCACCAGCACTGCTTCTTCAGCCTGGGTCCCAGAATAAGACTCAGGAAACAGATATGAGCACAACCTGAACCCCAGAGCCTAGGCATCTGAGTGTCAGTCTGAGGCACAATTATCAGCTGACCTGCAGATCTGCCAGTAAGATAAATAAATTCTTGGCCAGGCATGGTGGCTCATGCCTGTAATCCTAGCACTTTGGGAGGTTGAGGCAGGTGGATCACCTGAGGTCAGGAATTCGAGACCAGCCTGACAAACATGGAAAAACTCCATCTCTGCTAAAAATACAAAATTAGCCAGGCGGGTGGTGCATGCCTGTAATCCCAGCTACTCGGGAGGCTGAGGCAGGGGAATCGCTTGAACCCAGGAGGAAGAAGTTGTGGTGAGCTGAGATGGCACCATTGCATTCCAGCCTGGGCAACAAGAGTGAAACTCCATCTCAAAATAAAAGAAAAATAAATTCTTAAATTACCTGGGCATGTTGGTGCATGCTATAATCCCAGCTACTCGGGAGGCAGAGGCTGAAGTGAGCTGAGATCACGCCACTGCACTCCAGCCTGGGCAACAGAGCAAGACTCCTAAAAAAAAAAAAAAAAAGGAATTCTTGTTGTAAGCCATTTGGTTTTGGTATGTATGTGTTTTGTTGTTGTTGTTATTGTTTTGTTTTGTTTTTTTTTTTGAGACGGAGTCTTGCTCTGTCACCCAGGCTGGAGTGCAGTGGCGCAATCTCGGCTCACTGCAAGCTCTAACTCCTGGGTTCACACCATTCTCCTGCCTCAGCCTCCAGAGTAGCTGGGACTACAGGCGCCCACCACCATGCCTGGCTAATTTTTGTATTTTTAGTAGTGACGGGTTTCACCATGTTAGCCAGGATGGTCTCGATCTCCTGACCTCATGATCCGCCTGCTTTGGCCTCCCAAAGTGCGGGATTACAGGCATGAGCCACCGTGCCCGGCCCTAAAAAGGGGAGGCATGAATAATCCACCCCTTGTTTAGCATATCGTCAAGAAATAACCATAAAAATGGGCAACCAGCAGCCGGCTGCTCTGTCTATGGAGTATTCTTTTATTCCTTTACTTTCTTAATAAACTTGCTTTAACTTTATTCTATGAATGTGCCCTGAATTCTTTCTTGTGCAAGATCTAAGAACACTCTCTTGGGGTCTGGATTGGAACCCCTTTCCAGTAACATCTTTCTGACGACCCAGAGGGGACTATAGTGTGGAAACTCCCAACTCAAAGGCTAACTTTGGTTAAGTGTTGGGGTCTGATAACATCTTTCTCATGAACCACAAGTGGGACAATACTGAAAATACTTCTCAACCCAAAGGAAACAGACTGCAGCACTAATTGGCCAACTTTGGGTAATTGGGGTACCCAAGTAAAGGATGGGATTGGGTTAGAGGTGCAACTTAGGGGAGTTAGAGTCTCTCCTGAAACAGAGTGGGTTAGAGACTCATCTTAATAAAAGGCAAGAACGCTTAACCAACCTTGGGTTAGAGGCCCAAATTAGAAGAGTTATCCCTTCTAAGATTTAGGGAGTTAGAGGCCTCTCTCAGTAAAGTCCTTCTTGGCTAAGAATGGGTTTGACACTATTAACTGCTATTCTCTTTCAAATAATCTGCCTTGCACTCTTTGCTGACAGCTATGGGTGACAGGATTAGGCATGAACAGGATCGTGGGACATGGGGAGCTTTTTCTTCCCTAAAAGGGGAAACTTGAGAGCTGATGGGACTGCTGAAAAATATCCCTTCACAGCTGACAAGCGGCCACCTGAACTTTTGATTCAGTGTTGCTGGAATGGGTGGGTCTTTCTCTCAACTCCCTGAGATCTTCACCTTCCCCATCCTGCCACAGGCAAGGCTTTTCTCTCTCTCCTTTCCCTTTCTTATTTTTTCTATTACTCAGGGTAACCATCTTTCCCAGAGATCACAAGTCAAAACTCTCTGGTCAGAGGTTGGATTAATGATGATGGGGCCCAACAGGGGGCAAGTTTGAGCCTTGCCAGTTTGATATTGGGTGCTAAGCAGAGTGGCAGGTCATAAACTGCTTCTTTGACTTTTACAAATTGTTCAATTTATTTTATTCTATTTTATTTATTTATTTTTGAGATGGAGTTCCATGCTGTTGCTCAGGCTGGAGTGCAGTGGCACAATCACAGCTCAATGTAACCTCTACCTCCTAGATTCAAGTGATTCTCCTGCCTCAGCCTCCCAAGTAGCTGGGATTACAGGCACGTACCACCATGCCTGGCTAGTTTTTGCATTTTTAGTACAGACAGGGTTTCACCACATTGTCCAGGCTGGTTTCTAACTCCTGACCTCAAGTGATCCGCCCCACTTGGCCTCCCAAAGTGCTGGGATTACAGACCTGAGCCACCATGCCCAGCCTCAATTCATTTTAAAGCATTAAATTCTAGATAAGGCCTGGGGATATATGGGATTAGCCATGCCCCCTAGCTATACAAAGAAGGTTATAAAGAAAAAGATTTTATATAACAAAGGATCTTGTATGGTAAATTCTTGTTCTAAAGTAAAATGGTTGTTTGACAAGAGGTATGTTTAGGACAAGTCCGAAAGTCCAAGCATGTCATAAATGGTCTGTGTAAGTCATAAAAATATGAAAATAATTTATGCAAAAAATGTTGTACAATTTAAAGGTAATTAGGCTTCCTAAATGTGTCATAAAATGCCACTATAACTTGTAACTGTAAAACTTTCCTGCTTTACAGCTAGGTAAGGCCTGGGACACGTAAATGCTAAAAAAAAATCAGACCTTATCTGCACTTCTGTCTGCTGTCCTCGGCTCCATACCTAATTAAAACCCTGAACTTACCAAGGTTTTCACCAAAAGTTAAAGTCACTAAGAGTTAACAGTGTAACATGTATTTGTGACTACTGAAGAAACAGTTTTACATGCAAGGTGTGTAAGAAAAGTAAACTTTGTTTTTAGTAAAAAATTATAAAAAGGCATGGGCATGTATTTTTTTTGCCTAAAGGGTTAAAGGATTGCTTTAAGTGAAATAGGAAAATTCTAAAGGTTTAAACAAGTTGTAAACGTTTTATAAAAAAATTAATTATAAAAAAAATCTATGTGTGAACAGATTGGCTAAAGTTAAAGGGGTATTATTCAGTTTTAAACTAAACATTGGAATAAAAGCACAACAGGTTTTTCTTAAAGCAAAAACCTGCTTTTACTCTGCTCTTTAACAAATATTGTAAAGGTAGTTATAAAAGAGGTTTATAAAAATCTTACCTTATGGTCAAACTGATTAAATACATTTGTCTATAAGGTTTTATTAAAAACTGGGTTTGACAGTAATAGTACACTAATGTAAAAGTGACATTTGGCTTATTTTATATAAAAATCATACAAGAAGCACTGTCAAATATAAAATAATGTTTAGCTTCTTTGGGCTATATTTGTATAAATATGTTATTGGTATGTGTTCCAAAATAATTCTAATATAACTTAGTGTATATTATTAATAATTATAATTGTTACATAAAATCATTGTATGCCACAGAGGTAACCAAATTTCTTTGTCAATTGTGTTTTTAACTGTGACTGTCCTAAGACATTTTGTCATCCACGGACACTTGTTGTTTTATTCCTCTTTAAAAAAATGGTTTATAATCAGCTATAGGACTCTAACAGGTGCTCTTAAATTCAGGTTTCTAATACCTTTGAACACTGTAATATTAAAATACAGGAAAAAACTTTCGGACTCACGGAAAGCTGAAATGTTCATAAATATCAAACAGGAATTAACTGCATGGACTAAACTAATAGAAGCTATTTACAGCTTTTAACAATTAAGTATACTCCTGTAAACAAAACGTGGATCATATTTGTTTCTCTCTACCAGATTTCTCTAAAATATGGAAACTATTTGTAAGTATTCTTAATTTATGGCAATATAGTTATTTGCATAAGTGCAATAAAAATCCATTTTCTTTTGTAACAGGATGCAATTGGAAAAACTGGTTATTTTACCAAGGCTTTAACTGGAATGGTGTGTTTTCCTTTAAGGAATTAAATTTAACTTATAGGGCCAATACAAGTCCCTTGGGAGAACTGGCCTCATACCTTGCCTACACAGTCCCTGCACAGGGTTTCTGACCTGTGATAAGTAAAGAATGTCACTTTCTAACAGGCCCAGAAGCCCCAGGTTATCTTGGAACCTCAAGAGGAGAGGAATTTACCTAGCTCATAGGTATTTAAGCATACAAACCAATGGCAGGGCTCGGATCTAAAAAAATCTTATCTAAGATTCCTTCTATGGAACAGAGTTCCAATTTACAAAAAGCTTATGTGAAAAATAATTATTCTTGCTACACTTTATGCAAACAATCAGGCCAAGTATAATAAAGCAAGTTGGTGTTACCATAATTTGTCTTTAATAAAAATGGGAAACTGGAGACAGAAAACTTAATGTTTCAAGAACTGTGGTACACTTGTTATTAAATTCTAGTCTCATCAGTTGCTTTAAATTTTTTTTCCCTGCAAATTAAACTGACTCTGCTTATTCCTGTAAATCAACCAGTAATCTCTAACTGCTGCTCAAAAGAAATGAGAGGATGGGTAATGTCAAAATCTGAATCAATATCTAATTCTGGGCACATACTGGAATCATCTAGCAACCCCCTATCAGCTTGGTTCTAACACTTGCCCAGTTGATAGAAAGCCTTCTAACTTAGTTAAGTTGGGATAATTTTGCTTATGTTGTTTTAGTGTGGTGAAATATATTGCTGTTGTACTCTTTGTATAGCAATGCAAAATAAGCTTACTCAATGTTTTCTTAAACACTTATTAATCTTCCAAATATCACCTTTTGTTGGAACTCAAAAGTTATAAATGGCCCTCAACATACCAATGCTTTCTTTCTTTCTTTCTTTTTTTGAGACAAAAATCTCACTCTGTCACACAGGCTGGAGTGCAGTGGAGCGATATTAACTCACTGCAACCTCCGCCTCCTTGGTTCAAGTGATTCTCGTGCCTCTTCCTCCTGAATAGCTAGGATTACAGACACCCGCCACCACGCCTGGCTAATTTTTGTATTTTTAGTAGAGTCGGGGTTTCACCACGTTGGCCAGGTTGGTCTCAAACTCCTGACCTCAGGTGATCTGCCCACCTCGGCCTCCCAAAGTGCTGGGATTACAGGCGTGAGTCACTGCGCCCAGGCCAATGCTTTCTAACTAAGCTCCTCTCTACCGTAAACACAAAAGACCCTAATAGTTAGGCAGGAATATCATTGCCCCTATTCAGCATAAAGAAGTTACAGAAAATGGATCTTTGTCCCTCTGCAGCCCTTAGGATTAAGGGTTCTCTTATAAAAGGAAGGTGGGAAATGTCAGAGGCATTGGAACCAGAGCAACTCCATCTTGAAAAGGGGCTGGGTGAAATAAGGCTGAGACCTACTGGGTGGCATTCCCAGACAGTTAAGGCATTCTGATTCATAGGATGAGATAGGAGGTCAGCACAAAATACAGTTCATAATGACCTTGCTGATAAAACAAGTTATAGTAAAGAAGCCAGCTAAAACCCACCAAAACCAAGATGGTACCAAGAGTGACCTCTGGTCATCCTCACTGCTACACTCCCACCAGTGCCATGACAACTTACAAATGCCATGACAACGTCAGAAAGTTATTATATATGGTCTAAAAATGAGAGGCATGAATAACCCACCCCTTGTTTAGCATATTAAGAAATAGCCATAAAAATGGGCAACCAGCAGCCCTTGGGGCTGCTGTCTATAGAGTACCCATTCTTTCACTCCTTTACTTTCTTAATACATTGTTCTCACTTTAATTTACAGACTCGCCCTGAGTTCTTTCTTGCACGAGATCCAAGAACCTTCTCTTGGAGTCAGGATCAGGACCCCTTTCCAGTAACAAAAGTAGATTAGAGATTATCAGAGGTTGGGGAGTTATTGCTTAATAATTAGAGTTTATTTTGGGCATGTTGAAGTTTCAGAAGTAAATAGTGGTGGTGGCTGCTCAACATTGTGAATATCATTCATTAATACCACTAAGCTATACACTTAAAAAAGCCAAGATGGCAAACTTTATGTTATACATACTTTACCACAATTTGTAAATGAATAACGAATTAGCCAAAATATATTGAAATGGGTGAATTGTATTGCATGTGAATTATATCTTGACATAGTTGTTAGGGACAAAAAGGGCATTCACAATTTCAACCTTGCTGAAAAGACAGAATTCTGCAGTGCTAGTAAGAAGAGTTAGGACACGGGATAAGATTGACATGCAATTATTTAGTAAGTGTATGCAAGCTTAAAATCCAAAAAATAATAAAGGAAACGCGAAGCCAGTAATTGAGGACAGAGCCACTAGTCTCCTACTTTTCATGTTTTGCTATTCAATACTTGCTACGAGAAAGACTATTTGGCTAACTTCCTAGAACTTGTAACATTGTCAGTGCCCAGCTACCTTAATATTCCAGGGAGCATTGCTGACACTGTTTTGGCTTTTGCATGATGAGTAATTATAATGCTATAAGAGAGGCAAGCCTGAGTCCTGGGATTACCCCTTTACCTCTATTTAGGTTTATCTATTCCATTCCAGTAATAGTTACTCACCGCTATTTTAAAAAAGAAAAGAGGCTTTTTGACATCAGCTGTTGCTATTCTATATGTTATCTTCTTTCTGTAAGGGAAGGTACCCTTATCACCATTCTGGATCTGAGCCTGAAATCTGGCCACCTTTTCTTCATTCATGCTGATAGTGAACCTGAAGCAGGAGGCTTTTTCAACACTAGCAAGTGGCAACAGCAAAATGGCAGCTCTGATGAAGACAGAGAATGGACCATTGGCAGTTAGTTTTTAGAAAATGAGTTTCTAGATTCTCAACTTCTGTCTATGCTTTTTCTTAAAAGAGATCTTCTATCATGCTAGCTCTCAGATGTTACCCAGTCCTACTCTTCCAGCTCCCCATTTATATCCAAGCTCCTGCTACTGATATACACCCACTATGGTGCATTGCTTATGGGAGGAGGAACCTCCAGGGCTCCAGGAAAGATACATTTCTAAATATCAGTGCTGGCCAGTGAGGAAGTGGATGACTCTGATGATGGAGTAATGCATCTTTTGCAAGTTAGATGTTTCCCAATTCTTTGCTTTCAACAAAATTGAAAGAGAGCTGAGAAAGTTGACATACCAAATTTCATTAAAAATCAACTTTTGATAATCAGTAACTATGTGGGTTTTGGCATATACTTCAGAAAGAGTTCAAATAATTGAATGAAATCACTATAATAAAACCCCTTCTATTCCATTCTACCTATTTATGCTACAAGGAGTCCAATAAAAACAAATCCATACTTAGATAAAGAAAGGCCTTTTTCAAAAAGACTTATGTAATGGGGGTGGCAGGGGGAAAGCTATTGTGAAAGAATACTCCACTGGAGCAAACAAGGTTAGAAGGAACAGAGTATGGGGGAAATGGAATCAGAGAGTGGCACATTGGACAATTTTTCTTTGCAGTCAGCCAATTCTGGAAGGGTCATTAAGGAGGTTGTTCCACATTCCAATGCTTGTTTAAACTCAACAGTAGGCCAAAGTTCAGGGGCCTCAGGGGAAAAGAGAAGCCTAACTAGAGTTTGGTCAGGTCAGATTAGCAGGTATTTTGTCCAGACTGGTCAGTGCAAACAGTTCATCTAATCATTTATGAGATAAAATAATGGGAATTTGGAGAGCCTGTGTTGTCTTTGTCTTAGGTAAACAAGGGGGTCGTCATCCATTGGTCTTATCTAAATCATATAGGGAAGGGTGGATTTTTGCAGTAAGCCATTTTCAGGACCGCAAAAGAGTGGAGGGATTTTTAAACTATTGCTATTTTCCAGGAGTATGATGCTCAGGTAAAGTTCAACATTGCCAACCTTTTTGTTTGTTTGTTTGTTTGTTTGTTTTTGAGATGGAGTTTCGCTCTGTCGCCCAGGCTGGAGTGCAATGGTGCGATCTCAGCTCACAGCAACCTCCGCCTCCCAGGTTCAAGTGATTCTCCTGCCTCAGGCTCCCGAGCAGATAGGATTACAGGTGTCTGCCACCACGCCCAGCTAATTTTCTGTATTTTTAGTAGAGATGGAGTTTCACTATGTTGGCCAGGCTGGTCTCGAACTCCTGACCTCAGGTGATTCACCTGCCTCGGCCTCCCAAAGTGCTAGGATTACAGGCGTGAGCCACCACGCCTGGTCCCATTGCCAAAGGTTTACATGGATTTGATGCTGAACCCTGTGCATTTTATTAAAAAGTCATGAGCATCCATACGACATCCATTTCACTAAAATAAGTATTTCCAGTAATGTTTTACTTCCATATTGGAGCACCCACTAACTCAGCTATTAGTGTTAAGTTCAGGAATGACAGAAGGACTCATTAGATACAATTTGTTTCCATAATATAGATGCTTATTCCATGCAAACTGCTTCATTATGCAGAATCCACAATTACATTTTTGGCATCCTGATCATTTTATCTAAGGATCCAAGATCACAAGGATTTCTTAAGCAGTTGCTGTTATTTTTCAACAAAATTACTCAACTTCTTTATACTATAATGCTTGTCCTCTGTAACGCCTTGCATGCCCCTATTGGGATCTGGGCTAGTTTGATTAAGGAGGGATCTCAGTGGGATGGCAGTGTGATTTAACTATGTTGTCCCTCCCTTTCCCTCACAGGTACTAGGGAAGCTATGAAGATCAGATTTTGCTAGGCTTAGAGCTCTTGGCTTTCCTTTCCCTTCTCTTTGTCAATGCTTTCATTTCCAAAAAAGCCATAAGAAACGAACATGGGATAGTATTTCTAGCTTTTCCCTGCACTGCTTGCTTCTCTTTTTTCAACCCATTTAATCAGTTCTTAGTGAATTAGATCAATGTTTTTTTAAATTTCACTGATAAGAGCAATTCTTGGATGGAGTCATATCAAACAACATGATGGTTAAGCAATCTTTCAGGCATCAAAATTATTTGTTCCCTATTCATCTTCTTACAACATAAGGGTTTTTTGCCTCTACGGGGTCAGAGGTCTTCGTATCAATTGCCACTTTATTTTTAATTTAATTTTTCTTTTTCATCACTCCCAAAGCACCGGAATCAATCGCCACTTTTGATACAAACCTGGATTGATGGAAAGACTAACAAAACAACGCAGTTTCTTTTTTCTTTTCTGAGATGGAGTTTCACTCTTGTTGCCCAGGCTGGAGCGCAATGGTACAAACTCGGCTCACTGCAACCTCCACCTCCCGGGTTCAAGCAATTTTCCTGCCTCAGTCTCCCAAGTAGCTAGGATTACAGGCGCCCGCCACCATGCCTGGCTTGTATTTTTAGTAGAGACAGGGTTTTGCCATGTTGCCCAGGCTGGTCTCGATCTCCTGACCTCAGGTGATCCACCAGCCTCAACCTCCCAAAGTGCTGGGATTACAGGCATGAGCCACTGCGCCCAGATCAAAACGACACAGTTTCAATACCAGTTTACTTATTTTATTCAAAGGATGCAGGACAGGTAGTTCAGCATCCAAGCAAGCACTGCTTTGAGCAAAAGGCCTTGCAATATCCCAGGCACAGTTTCCAAGCTTATCATTTCATGGGTCATGCTCAGTTACAAGGGATGAAGGTAAAGCAAGATGGACCACCTTGGCACTGGGAAGCTCTTCTACTATCTGCTCTTTGACTTTTTATAACTTATTAGTCATATCATTCCTCAGGGTGTGTATAACTTAATAAATAACTTTTTTTTTTTTTGAGACAGAGTCTCACTCTGTTGCCCAGGATGGAGTGCAATGGCCCGATCTTGGCTCACTGCAAGCTCCACCTCCCGAGTTCAAGCAATTCTCCTGCCTCAGCCTCCTGAGTAGCTGGGATTACAAGTTCATGCCACCATGCCCAGCTAATTTTTGTATTTCTAGTAGAGACGGGGTTTCACCATGTTGGCCAGGATGGTCTCAAACTCATGACCTCATGATCTGCCTGCCTCGGCCTCCCAAGTTGCTGGGATTACAGGCGTGAGCCATCACGCCCGGCCATAAATAACATTCTTTGGGAGCAGCTGTAGCACCTCAATGAAAGGTTATACAACAAATAGCCCCAACAACCAGATACACTTCAGGTGGAAAAAGCATGGTCCACACAACATTCTACACTTACCGTAACTTAGTACATTTTGAGAACTAATTTTGCAAGAAAGTAAATTCAGGGTCAGCTTCCCAGGTGTCCCTGGACCTGGACCAAGAGTTTCAATTCTCTGAGAATTGTTTCTCTTACAATGCTTAACAATTATTTTTTAAAAGTGTATTTACTTTTTGTGATTGTTTGTTTATTACTAATAACTGTAGTGATCATTTAATCCAGAAGAAACATTGACCACTTAGAACTTTAAGATCGGCTGGGTGCGGTGGCTCACGCCTGTAATCCCAGCACTTTGGGAGGCCGAGGCGGGCGGATCACGAGGTCAGGAGATCGAGACCATCCTGGCGAACACTGTGAAACCCCATCTCTACTGAAAATACAAAAAGTTAGCTGGGCATGGTGGCGGGTGCCTGTAGTCCCAGCTACTTGGGAGGCTGAGGCAGGAGAATGGCGTGAACCCAGGAAGCGGAGCTTGCAGTGAGTGGAGATCACACCACTGCACTCCAGCCTGGGCAAGAGAGCGAGACTCTGCCTCAAAAAAAAAAAAAAAAAGAACTTTAAGATGACAGGAAATAAAAACAATTTAAAATAATTTCAATTCTTAGACACATTTTTGCTCAGAGAAATATGATAAGATGATTAATAAAAGACTTTTGAACACATATTAAAATCAAATTTTGTGAGGAAAAGGAATGAAAAATTTTTCAAAGATAAAATAAATTATATAAAATGTCTGTCTATTGAAGAAGAGTGTTATTTTCTCTCTTGTATGATGAATGATGGAATATACCAAAACCCTATGCTAATTAGATTTGGTAGATACACTTTAAGAAGTAATATAACGTCTGTTTTTATTTATTTATTTATTTAGACAGAGTCTTACCCTGGTGCCCAGGCTGGAGTGCAATGGCACAATCTCGGCTCACTGCAACCTCCGCCTTCTGGGTTCAAGCGATTCTCCTGCCTCAGCCTCCCGAATAGCTGGGACTACAGGCACACGCCACCACGCCTGGCTAATTTTTTGTATTTTTAGTAGAGCCGGGGTTTCACCATATTGGCCAGGCTGGTCTTCAACTCCTGACCTCATGATCCAGTCACCTCAGCTTCCCAAAGTGCTGGGATTATAGGCGTGAGCCACCACACCCGGCCAGAAAAAGTAATATAACTTCTATTTTTAAAAGTCAATATTTACATTATGCCTCAAATTATGTTCTTTGAAACAAGTTAGAAGTAGGTGAGGAAGAACATATCTTTTTGAAATTATTTTAGGTGTACTGAGAAAAAGTTAAGTTTAACAGAGAGAAGGGATGACTAAATTATGTTAAACTATGTGACTATCCGAGGGTTCTTTTAGTACTCTCTTAATCTAGCCATAGCCCTTAGATCTATCCTCACCGTAAGAAACACATGTTTTTCTCCAATTACTTTAGGGGCGACTACTGTATGTCAAAGATCATGTCACTTGATTTTATTTATCTTTTCGTTGCAACACTATTCACAACTTGTCACTTTTGAAAAAACACAAGGTCAGTTAGGTAGATCACATGACTATTCTTAGTTTTTCATACTCTGTATCCAAATTTTACCTTTATACTCTTTGCCATGTGACTTTGCAGTTCTCCCCACTAGGGAAGGGATGTATTTCCTGTGAGTTACTTTGACTAATGAAATATGAGTTGAGGCCGGGCATGGTGGCTCACGCCTATAATCCCAACACTTTGGGAGGCCAAGGCGGGTGGATCACCTGAAGTCAGGAGTTTGTGACCAGCCTGGCCAACAATGGTGTGACCCCATCTCTACTAAAAATACAAAAAATTAGCCGGGCATGGTGGCGGACGCCTGTAATCCCAGCTACTTGGGCAGCTGAGACAGGAGAATCACTTGAACCTGGGAGGCAAAGGTTGCAGTGAGCCGAGATCACACCACTGCACTCCAGCCTGGGCAATAAAGAGCAAAACTCCGTCTCAAAAAACAAACAAACAAACAAACAAACAAATAATAAAAAAAAGAAAAGAACTATGAGTTGAAGGAACGGTGTGACAGTTCTTGCTTCAAGAGACAATAATTTCCGATATGTTCCTGCGATTATTTATTTATGTATGTATTTATTTATTCTTTTTTGAGATGGAGTCTCGCTCTGTCACCCAGGCTGAAGTGCAGTGGCACCATCTCAGCTCACTGCAACCTCCAACTCCTGGGTTCAAGCGATTCTCCTGCCTCAGCCTCCTGAGTAGCTGGGATTAACAGGTGCGTGCCACCACGCAGGGCTAATTTTTGTATTTTTAGTAGAGATGGGGTTTCACCATGTTGGTCAGGCTGGTCTCAAACTCCTGACCTCGTGATCCGCCCGCCTTGGCCTCCCAAAATGCTGTGATTACAGCCATGAGCCACTGCACACAGTTGTTCCTGTGATTTTTTTAACGAAGATTTAGGAGTTTTTCCTTTGAGTGAGAAAACTGGCGATATTTGAATAATGGCTGAAGAATAGTATTGTATGAATGTTAATTTCCCGGTTATGATCGCTGTACTGTGATTGTGTAAGATGTTAACACCAGGGAATGCTGCGTAAAAGATATACAGGAACTCTGTACTATTTTGGAAACACTGTAGTAAGTCTAAAATTATTTCAAGACAAAAAGTTTACAGGACATGCCCCAGTTAGCTGCTGGTCCAAAGAACTGAGGAAACATGTTGAGCAGTCCTGAACCCAAGTAGAAGCCTAGAGCCACACTCAGGCACCCTATAGCCTAAAGCAAGGTTGCTCCAGCCCATGCAAAGATCCATGAACTTGTTGTTGTAAGTCTGAGACATAGGAGGTGTGTTATGAAGCATTATTGTGGTAATAACTGACTGTTTTAGTCCATTCTCACACTGCTGTAAAGAACTGCCTGAGACTTGGTAGTTTAAAGGAAAGGGGTTTAATTGACTCACAGTTCCGCAGGGCTGGGGAAACCTCAGGAAACTTATAATCATGGTGGAAGGGGAAGCAAAACCTTCGTTCTTCACATGGCAGCAGCGAGGAGAAGTGCTGAGCAAAAGCGGGGAAAGCCCCTTATAAAATCATCAGATCTCATGAGAACGCACTATTATGGGAACAGCACGGGGGAAACCGCCCTCATGATTCAATTACCTCCCACAGGGTCCCTCCCATGACACGTGGGGATTATGGGAACTACAATACAAGATGAAATTTGGGTGGGGACACAGCCAAACCATATCACTGATGAATATAATGGAGTTGAAATATCTTGTCTTTAATTTGTATGTGCACATATGTGCATGTATGTCTGTATGCCCATGTATTTTAATCCAGCACCTCTTTATTCATGCATTAGAGTGACAGTCAGAGGTCCTCAATAATTGATGAGTTTTCCTTTGAGAATGAAATAAGAGAGATTTGATAACTTGATTAATTCATAGACACCACCTTAACTAAGTGATCAGAGTTAATATCACCAGTAATGAGATATATCAACATAATATAATCCCTTACATAATGCACCAAGAAGGGGGCAACATACCTGCTGTGGAATTCTTGCCAAAAATGCATAACCTCAATCTAATTGTAAGAAAATATCAGACAAACTAAATTCAGCTACTCTCTGTAAAATAACTAATCAGCAGTCCTCAAAAGTATTAAGGTCATGAAAGACAAAGAAAGACTGAGGAACTGTCACAGATTGGAATAGACTAAGAAGACATGATGGCTTAGAGAAATGTAAGATCCTGGATTAGACCTTGGACCAATGAAAGAACATTAGTGGGAAAACTGGCAATATTTGAATAACGGCTGAAGAACAGTATTTAGCAATGTTAATTTCCCGGTTTTGATCATTGTACTAGGTTGCGTAAGTGTTAACACTAGAGGAAGCTGGGTAAAAGATACTACAGGAACGCTACTATTTTGGAAACTTTGAGGTAAGTCTGAAATTATTTCAAAATGAAAAGTTTTAAAAAACATCAGGAATGAGGCCATTTATCTTTAGAGTAATACATTTTAAGGAATCTTTAGGGTTTCCATTTAGGATAATATTTGCCAGACCTCATGAAATTAAATCAAAATCTCTGAGGTGGGAGTGAGGCATCGGTATTATTTTTAAGCCCTTTAGGCGATCCCAATTGCAGCCAAGTTTAATAACAAGTAGTATAGACAATAACCATCAAATGAACACCAGTGTACCCACCACCTAGTTTAAGAAATACCCAGTTTTGTTTGTTTGCTGAGATGTCAAGGCAAGAAATATCTAGTTTTAAGAAATACGCTGTAGACTCTTCCCTGATCCTGCCTGCAAATTTCTCCAACCATAGTTTTCCTCATTCTGTAATCAAGTTTAATTTAATTTAATCATAGTTTAATCAAATACACATGTATCCTTAAAACATATAGTTTTAAACATATACTTTTATTTTTACACGTTTAACTTAATATGAATGAAACCAACATTATAAATATATTTTTGGCAGCTAGCTCTTTTCTTACTCAACATTATGTCAATGAAATGTATAGATTTTAATTCATGTAGATGTAGTTTATTTTCATTGCTTTCAGTATTTTATTATTTTGTTATATCAGGATTTGTTTGTCCATTCTAATTGAGAACATAAGGGCTGTTTCTAGTTTTTTGTTATGATACATAATATAGCTTTGAACATTCTTGTTTGCCTCATTGCGCCCACATGTAAGAGTTTCTCCTGAGCACATGCCCAGTAAATGGAATTTCTGAGTCATAGGGCACATCCATTTCAGGTGTTCTAGATAATGCCAAATTGGTTTCCAAAATCAATACACCAATTTGGAGTCCTATCAGCCGTGTGTAAGGTTGCTTATTGCTCCACATCCTTGCCATCTTTTGATTGTGTCAAACTTAACTCCTTTTTTTTTTTTTTTTTTGCAATATGGTGGGTATAAAATTATCTCATTATGGTTTGAATTTGCCTTTCCCTGTTAAGTAGTGAGACTGTGCTTCTGTTCGTGTTTCTGTGGGTTGTATACTCATGAAATGTATGTATGTGTTTTTCTTCCATTTTTCTCACGGGTTGTTTGGTATTTCTTTATTTTTTTCTTTTTTTTTTTTGAGACAGAATCTCGATGCATTGCCCAGGCTGGAGTGCAGGGGTGATCTCGGCTCACTGCAACCTCCACCTCCTGGGCTCCAGTGATTCTCGTGCCTTAGACTCCTGAGTAGCTGGGATTACAGGCACATACCACCACACCTGGCTAATTTTTGTATTTTTTTAGTAGAGACAGGGTTTCACCATCTTGGCCAGGCTGGTCTCCCACTCCTGACCTCAAATGATCTGCCCACCTCAGCCTCCCAAAGTGCTGGGATTACAGGTGTGAGCCACTGTGCCCGGCTGAGTTGTTTGGTATTTCTTACTTATTTGTAGAAGTTAGTTATGTTTTTCTCAGTTATAATTCTTTGTCAATTATGTGCCAAATATCTTCTCCCAGTTTGTAGCTTATATTTTCATTTTCATTGTGGTATCTTTTGAAAACCAGAAGTTCTTAATTTTAATATAATACAATTTATCAATCTTTCCCTTTATATGATTTTCTTCTTTTTCCTGTTTTAAATGATGGACTATTAGAACGTGGAACTATATTATTTTAAATATTATGATAAATACATAGAATACATAATACAAAAAAGTTAAACAACTGGTATATATATTGGATAAGAAAAGATAAAATGATATCTTTCAGCTGATTATAAGATTTATGCGGCCGGGCACTGTGGTTCATGCCTGTAATCTCAGCACTTTGGGAGGCCGAGGCGGACGGATCATGAGGTCAGGAGTTCGAGACCATCCTGGCTAACACGGTGAAACCCCCATCTCTACTAAAAATACAAAAAATTAGCTGGGCTTGGTGGTGGGCACCTGTAGTACCAGCAACTCGGGAGGCTGAGGCAGGAGAATGGCATGAACCTGGGAGGTGGAGCTTGCAGTGAGCCGAGATCGTGCCACT
Source organism: Homo sapiens (assembly GCF_000001405.40). Classification (NCBI taxonomy): domain Eukaryota; kingdom Metazoa; phylum Chordata; class Mammalia; order Primates; family Hominidae; genus Homo; species Homo sapiens. The sequence continues at coordinate 31,862,779 of NC_000012.12, forward strand.
GCACTCCAGTGTGGGTGACAGAGTGAGACTCCGTCTCAAAAAAAAAAAAAAAAAAAAAAAAAAAAGATTTATGCCTGTATATCCCAAGGACTCCGGTTTGAAGAAAAAAAAAAACTACTTGAATCAATAAAAGTAGTGATATGGTAGTTGTATTCAAGATAAAAATACAGGCCAGATGCAGTAGCTCATGCCTATAATCCCAACACTTTTAGAGGCCAAGGTGGGAGAGGATTGCTTGAGTGCAGAAGTTCAAGACCTGCCTGGGAACCATGCCGAGACCTGGTCTCTACAAAAAATAAAAAATTAGCTGGGTGTGTGGTGATGCATGCCCCTAGTCCCAGCTACTCAGGAGGCTGAGGTGAGAGGATCCCTTGAGCCCAGAAGGTCAAGGATGCAGTGAGCCATGATCATGCCACTCTACCCCAGCCTGGGCAAGAGAGTGAGATCCTGTCTAAAAAAATTTAAAAAAAGATAAATATGCAAAAGGTATAAAAACCAGTATGTTTTTTCAATTCTTGAAGTAGTGGCACATGCCTGTAATCCCAGCTACTTGGGAGGCTGAGGCAGGAGAATTACTTGAACCCTGGAGGCAGAGGTTGCAGTGAGCCGAGATCGCGCCACTGCACTCCAGGCTGGGTGACAGGGCAAGACTCTGTCTTAAAAAAAAAAAAAAAAAAAAAAAATTGGCCGGGCGCAGTGGCTCATGCCTGTAATCCCAGCACTTTGGGAGGCTGAGGCAGGCGGAACACGAGGTCAGGAGATCGAGACCATCCTGGCTAACATGGTGAAGCCCCGTCTCTACTAAAAATACAAAAAAATACAAAAAATTACAAAAAATTAGCCGGGCGTGGTGACGGGCACCTGTAGACCCAGCTGCTCGGGAGGCTGAGGCAGGAGAATGGCGTGAACCCAGGAGGCAGAGCTTGCAGTGAGCCGAGATCACGCCACTGCACTCCAGCGTGGGCGACAGAGCGAGACTCCGTCTCAAAAACAAAAAATCAAACCTGCAATAAACTTATGCATATATATGTTTATATTGTTGGAAGTTTATCTTCAGGGTAAATTTCTAGAAATGAGATTGCTGGGTCAAAATATAAGTGCATATGTCGTTTATTCAGATATTACCAAATTTCTCTCCAGAAGCGTTGAACCAATTTTCATTCCCACCAGTAATGAATGAGACTGTGTATTTCCCTTACAGTCTCTCCAACAGAATATACTGTCAGTCTGTATTTTTAAATTTTTGTCTATCTAAACTTTTCCAGGTAAAAATGGTATCTCAGTGTTGTTTTAATCTGCATTTTTCTAATTATGAATGAGTCTGACATTTTTTCATATATTTGAGAGACATTTTTCTATCTTTTTTTGTTTGTTGTCTGTTCACATCTTTTCCCATTTTTCTGTTGAGTTTTTGGTCCTTTGTCCTCAAATTTTAAGCATTTTTTATATTTTAAGGATTTTACTCCTTGTCTATGGTATATGTGTGAATATTTTCTCCTATTTTTGTCAGTTATCCTTTGTCCTTCTTTATGGTACTTTTGTCACGCAAATTTAAGCATTTACATATCATCACATTTATCAATCTTTTATTACGTCTGAATTTTGAGCCCCAGTTCAAAAGCCATTCCCTACACTGAAGTTAAAGAGGAATCTACCCGTGTGTTTTTCTAATATGTTGGTGCAAAAGTGATTGAGGTTTTGCCATTACTTTTATTTATTTATGTGTTTGTTTGTTTGTTTATTTTTGAGATAGAGTCTCGCTCTGTTGCCCAGGCTAGAGTGCAGTGGCACGACTGGCTCACTGCAACCTCCACCTCCTAGGTTCAAGTGATTCTCTTGCCTCAGCCTCCCGAGTAGCTGGGATTACAGGTGCGTGCCACCATGCTCAGCTAATTTTTTTTTTTTTTTTTGTATTTTTAGTAGAGATGGGGTTTCACCATGTTGGCTAGGCTAGTCTTGAACTCCTGACCTCAGGTGATCCGACCACTTCGGTCTCCCAGAGTGCTGGGATTACAGGCATGAGCCACTGTGCCCAGCCCTGCTGTTACTTTTAATGGTGCTTGAATGGTTTCCTTTTTTACATATAGATCCCTCATCTATTAGAAGTTGATTCTTACATATGGTGTGAAGTATTCATCTATATATATTTTCCAAGTGCCTACCCATTTGTTCTAGCATTTTTTCAAAGTCTTTCTTTACTTCAGTGATTTGACATGCCATCTTTGCCAGATACCTAATTGTATCTTGATAAATAAAAGTTACTTTTAATGGCTAAGTACTTTAAAATATTATCTTAAGTTACTTTTAGAATTTATAAACATTTCTCCCTCTTTTTAACCCCTTTAAGGTAAAGAGTCCCAAAGCAGCTTTAGGGAGGGAAAAAGGTCACAGTGGGACCTTGGCCTGGCCTTAACTGTCAAGACACTAAGCTGATGAGTGGCAGCTGTAAAGAGTTGTCCTGGGGACTGTGCCAGGATACTTTTTATATTATTTTTATCTCTATGAAAGCAATACATGTGCATAGTTTTATATGTCAAAAAGTGACTGGGCATGGTGGCATGTGCCTGTAATCCCAGCTACTCGGGAGGCTGAGGTGGGAGGATTGCTTGAGCCCAGGAGGTTGAGAACGGCCTCAGCAACATAGCAAGACCCTCATTTCAAAAAAAAAAAAAAAAAAAGAAATAAAATAAAATAAATGTAAAAATGAAAAAACAAAAAGTGAAGTGTGAACAATAAGAAGTGTAAATCCTGGCCGGGCATGGTGGCTCACACCTGTAATCCCAGCACTTTGGGAGGCCGAGGTAGGTGGATCACGAGGTCAGGAGTTCAAGATCAGCTTGGCCAAGATGGTGAAACCCCGCCTCTTCTAAAAATACAAAAAATTAGCCGGGTGGGGTGGTGGGCGCCTGTAATCCCAGCTACTCGGGAGGCTGAGGCAAAGGATTGCTTGAACTCGGGAGGCAGAGGTTGCAGTGAGCTGAGATCGCGCCACTGCACTCCAGCCTGTGCGACAGAGCAAGACTCTGCCTCAAAAAAAAAAAAAAGAAATGTAAGTCCTTGGCTGTACCCCTCCCCTAACCTTGATTTCCAACTAGAGTTTAAGCCTTAAGAGGGGAGATTAGAACTAATAAATAATTTTAGCAAGGCTGCAAGATATGAGATCAATACACAAAAATCAATCGTGTTTCTACACACTTGCAATGAACAGTTCAAAAATAAAATTAATAAAAGTTTCATCTACAATAGTATCAATAAGAATACATTATTTAGGAATAACTTTAACAAAAGAAATGCAAAAATTATACTCCCCAAACTGCAAACCATTCTTGAAAGAAACTAAAAAACATCCAAATAAATGGAAAAACATTCTATGTTCATGGATTGGGAGATAATATTGTTAAGATAGCAATACTCGGCCAGGCACAGTGGTGCATGTCTGTAATCCCAGCACTTTGAGAGGCTGAGCTAGGATGATCACTTGAGCCCAGGAGTTCAAGACCAGCCGAGGCAACATAGGAAGACCCCATCTCTACAAAAAATTTAAGAATTAGCCCAGCCAGGCACAGGGGCTCATGCCTGTAATCCCAGCACTTTAGGAGGCCGAGGTGAGTGGATCACCTGAGGTCAGGAGTTCGAGACCAGCTTGGCCAACATGGTGAAACCCCATCTCTACTAAAAATACAAAAATTAGCCTGGCATGGTGGCATATGCATGTAGTCTCAGCTACTCAGGAGGCTAAGGCACAAGAATCACTTGAACCCAGGAGGCAGAGGTTGTAGTGAGCTGAGATCACGCCACTGCACTCCAGCCTGGGCAAGAGAGCAACACTCCCTCTCAAAAAACATAAATTAAATAAATTTAAAAAAAATTAGTTGAGTGTGGTGGTGCACGCCTATGGTCTCAGCTACTCAAGAGGCTGAGGTTGGAGGATCGCTTCAGTGCAGGAAGTCAAGGCTGCCAAGGCTGGTGTGAGCTGTGATCACACCACTGCATTCCAGCCTGGGTGACAGACTGAGATCCTGTCTCAAAAACAAAACAAACAAAAGCAATACTCCTCAAATTGATCTATAGATTTACAGATTTGAAGATTTGATCAGAATTCCAGCTAGTTATAGAAATTGACAAAATGATCTAAAATTCATATGGAATTGCAAGGGACCTAGAATACTCAAAACAATCAAGAAGAACAAAGTTGGAGGACTCGCACTTTGCAATGTAAAAACTTAATAAGGGCTGGAAGCAGTGGCTTATACCAGTAATCCCAGCACTTTAGGAGTCCGAGTGGGCAGATCGCCTGAGGTCAGGAGTTTGAGACCAGCCTGGCTAACATGGTGAAACCCCATCTCTACTAAAAATACAAAAATTAGCTGGGCATTGTCGTGGGCACCTGTAATCCCAGCTACTCGGCAGTAGAATTGCTTGAACCCGGGAGGCAGAGGTTGCAGTGAGCTGAGATCATGCCACTGCACTCCAGCCTGGGTGACACAGCGAGACTCCGTCTCAAAAAAACAAAAACAAAAAACTTATTGAAAAGCTGTAGTACTCAAACCTGTGTGGCTGTAGTCTAAGAATTGTCATGTAGATCAATTGAATGGAATTGAGGGTCCAGAAGTAAACCCACATGTTTATGGTCAACATTTTTAAGAAGAGTGCCAGGATCTTCAAATGAGGAAAGATCTCCTGATTGGCTACAAGTAGACCTGCCCTTATTTGGGTATAAACCCATGGAAAGTCCCTAGTTAGAAGTTAATTGACAGTTTCTGGTTGGTTAAGTCTCTAGTTTTGTTTTACTTTTTACATTGGGCCTCAGTTTGCTTACATAGGAACCCAAAAAGCTGAGACTATCTCAGCCTAATGGCCTCCCAGTTAAAATGTTTTGTTTTGTTTTGTTTTGTTTTGTTTTGAGAAAGAGTCTCCCTCTGTCACCCAGGCTGGAGTGCAGTGGCGCAATCTCGGTTCACTGCAACCTCCACCTCCCGAGTTCAAGCAATTCTCCTGCCTCAGCCTCCTGAGTAGCTGGGATTACAGGTGCATGCCACCATGTGTGGCTAATTTTTGTATTTTTAGTAGAGATGGGGTTTCGCCTTGTTGGCCAGGCTGGTCTCAAACTCCTGATTTCAGGTGATCCGCCCACCTTGGCCTCTCAAAGTGCTGAGATTACAGGCATGAGCCACCACGCTCCGCCCCCAGTTAAAATGTTTTTAACGGGCAGTATTAATATCATTCCATTTCACAGCTGAAGAAACTGCCTTAGGCTATGTAACTTAAGATCAAACAGCTGTAAAGGGTGAATCTGGGATGCAAACCCAGCCACTGACTACAGAGCTCTGCTCATCTTTTAGACTATATGGCACTCAACTCACGTCAACTTTTAAATGTGGTTTCTTTCTTTTAGAGCAAATTTTGCAATGAATACATTCTTGTAAAAGCACTTAACTTTACATAAGTGTTTAAAGGAAAACACATAGATATATCCCCAACCTTCTTTTTTCTTTTTTTTTTTTTTTTTGTGGCAGGGTCTTACTTTGTCACCCAGGCTAGAGTGCAGTGGTGTGATCATGGCTCACTGTAGTCTTGACCTCCGGGTGCAAGTGATCCTCCTGCCTTAGCCTCCCGAGTAGCTGGGAGGTGCATGCCACCATGCGTGGCTAATATTTTTTGTAAAGAAGGGGTTTTGCCATGTTGCCCAGGCTGGTCTCGAACTCATGAACTAAAAGCAATCCACTCACCTCAGACTCCTAATAGTGCTAGGATTGCCTGCATGAGCCACTGCTCCCGGCCGCACCCCCCACCTTTGTACAGGGCAAAGACTTTGTTATGTATTCTTCCAGACTTTTACATTTTAGGGAGAAATTTGTGCTTCCATCGAAAACTGCATTTTATAAATTGCATCCTTCCTGGTTATCTGATTCTATGAGAGTTACTTTATAACTCTATAGGTTTGTTAGCAATGCAAAGTAATTAATACTATATTGATAACAAGATACAAGAATTAATGTAAAATAATTCTTATCTATATATATGACAATGGTCTGTTAGGGGGAGGCCAACCCACCTGCCCCACCCCAAGCCAGTTTGCACAATCATTTCTACATTTGTTTACTCCACATAAATTTCTTCTTCTTTGACGCCTTTGAACAGGTTATAACATCTGCCTACTTTTCTCATTTAATTAATACGTTAAGTAAAATCTTTAGCATTTGAGAAGATACAACTATAAATATAGCTATGATTCAGTAATTATGGGTTTCTTACATCACTGCCCATTAGTCCCCTCCAGCCACCAGACCAGACTGATTATTTATGGTTTTGCTTGCTTTGCTTTTGTTTTCTAGGTGGCTATCTCTTAGGAACCCCAGTAGTTTGGACACACACACACACACACACACACACACACAGGCAAGGTCACAGTCAGATCCCTGGCACGTTAATTTGGCCATTTGCCCAGGAGCAGCTGGTAGCAATCCTTGTGTTCCAGCACTTAAATTTCTCCTCTCAGGTTAGGATCTCTGAGAATATAGGAAAGAAAAAAAAAAAGGAGTTTCTCCTAGTCTCTCACTAACAATCAACGTAGAAGACTCCTGTGACCTCTGATCACCAAAATGTGTAGGGGTTTCTTCTCACCAGCAACTAATCAATCAATCCTGACCAGTTGGGTGTCTTCTAAATCAGCTCAGTTCTGACACTATCCACCTGGAGATAGCATCAGATTCCACAGGTTGAGGACTCAATTCCCGAGACTGCCCTGTTTTCCATTCAGATGCCAATTGCAAGCTCCAGGTTGTTTTACCTGTGCTTCTGACTGACCAAGCTATACATCGGGTTTCCCAAAAACCCCTCCTTGGGTTTGATGGATTTGCTACAGCAGCTCACAGAACTCAGAAAAACACTTAACTAACCTTTACTGGTTTATTATAAAGGATATTACGAAGAATAATGATGAACACCAGATGAAGAGATGCATAGGGCATGGGGTGAGGGAAGGGGCATGGAGCTTCCAGGCCCTCTCTGAATACACCACCCTCCAAGAATCTCCATGTGTTCAGTCATCCGAAAAACCTCTGAACACTGATTTTTGGGGTTTTTATGGAGTCTTTGTTACATAAGCATGATTGATTAAACCATTGGCTACTGGTGATCAACTTAACCTTCAGCCCCTGTCCCCTCCCAGGAGGTTGAGGAGTAGGGCTAAAAGTTCGAACCAGCAAATCCTACCTTAGTCTTTCAGGTGACCAGCCCCCATCCTGAAGCCTAGAGGCTGCCAGCCGTAAGTCAATTTATTAGCATACAAAAAGACATTTCTCACTTTGCAGATTTCACAGATTGTAGGAGTTCTTATGCCAGGAAACAGGACAAAGGCCAAATATATATTTCATAATATCACAGTCTCTAATTTCATTGTTCAGCTTCTCCTTCCCATAAGACTGTCAAGCCTCTCCAGAACACAGACTGTGCAGTATTGACCATTCCTTCTACTGTCCCATTTCTTAGCCCTGTCTTAGATACTCCTATCTCTGGGAGAATTTTGCTTGCATACCAGTATGTCTGTTGAAGAGAGCTCTTAATGCTAGGTCTTTTATTTTATTTATTATTTTTTTTTGAGAGGGAGTCTTGATCTGTCGCCCAGGCTGGAGTCCAGTGGCGCAATGTCAGCTCACTTCAAGCTCCGCCTCCCGGGTTCTTGCCATTCTCCTGCCTCAGCCTCCTGAGTAGCTGGGACTACAGGTGCCCGCCACCACACCTGGCTAATTTTTTGTATTTTTAGTAGAGACGGGGTTTCACCGTGTTAGCCAGGATGGTCTCGATCTCCTGACCTCGTGATCCGCCCGCCTCGGCCTCCCAAAGTGCTGGGATTACAGGTGTGAGCCACTGCGCCTGGCCTATTTTATTTTTATTTATTTATTTTTTTGAGACGGAGTCTCGCTCTGTTGCCCAGGCTGGAGGGCAGTGGCGTGATCTCGGCTCACTGCAAGCTCTGCCTTCTGGGTTCACGCCATTCTCTTGCCTCAGCCTCCCAAGTAACTGGGACTACAGGCACCCACCACCACACCCCGCTAATTTTTTTGTGTGTTTTTAGTAGAGACGGGGTTTCACTGTGTTGGCCAGGAAGGTCTCGATCTCCTGACCTCGTGATCTGCCCGCCTCCGCCTCCCAAAGTGCTGGGATTACAGGCGTGAGCCACCGCGCCTGGCCATTTTTTTTTTTTTTTTTTTTGAGACAAAGTCTCATTGTGTTGCCCAGGCTGGAGTGCAGTGGTGCGATCTCGGCTCACTGCAACCTCCTCCTCCCGGGATCAAGTGGTTCTGCCTCAGCCTCCCGAGTAACTGGAATTATAGGCATGCACTACCACACCCAGATAACTTTTGTATTTTTAGTAGAGACAGGGTTTCACCATGTTGGCCAGGCTGGTCTCAAACTTCTGACCTCAAGTGATCCTCCCGCCTCGGCCTCCCAAAGTGCTGGGATTACAGGTGTGAGCCACCAGGCCCGACCAATGCTAGGTCTTTGCAGTGGGTCTCATATCATTCCACGTACACTGAGGCGCACTTGTTGCCAGAGACCAAAAACTTTACTGAGCACCCTTTCACCCCCAGCGCCCACTTGGCTGGGTCTATTTCCAATTCTTTTAGTCTCTGGGGCTGATGAAATGAAGATGGGAGGGTAGGGCAAGAGAAACAAGAAGAGCTAGCCAAGAAGATAGAAAATAATGATTTTCAGCTCACTGCCACCTCCACTTCCCGGGTTCCCGCGATCCTCCCACCACAGTGAAGTGGTGTCATTTGCCTGGGAAAATACCCAAGGTTCATTGTCTCATACCAAGGAAATCGAAGACACGGACACACAAGAGATGAGTAAGAGCAGAGGCTTAATAGGCAAAAGAAAGAGAAAAGAGAATAGCTCCCTCTCCTGCAGAGAGAGGGGTGCCCGAGTGGGTCTTCCAGTTCCATGGTGAGGTGCACGGGTTTTATAGACTGGCTTGAGGAGGCAGTGTCTGATTTACATAGGGCCCAAAGATTGGTTAGACCAGGTGTGACGTTTACATAGCTCACGAAGAAGCTGGCCACCCCACCTTAATCTTTTATTATGCAAATGGGTTTTCTACCTGGCCAGAGCCATGTTGCCTGTTCCTTACTGGACATGTGGTTGACAAAGAAAAGGGAAGATGGAGCTGCCATGTTGAACATGCCTAGCCCCCAGGTAACCTTTTCCTATTGTCACAGCTGCCGGCATTCACCCATGCAAGGTTCCAGCTTGCTTATCTATGTCTGCAGCTCAATTTTACAGGCTGACTTTTTCAAAAAGAAATGACTTGGGGACTGCTTTTCATTAAAAGGAAAACCTTACTGAGGACTTTCTTACCCTCACTATCTGCCTAAATCATTTCTTTTTAACTCCTATATCAATAGCCTCCCAAGTAGCTGGGACTATACGTGTGCGCCACGACACTCAGCTAATATTTGTATTTTTTGTAGAGACAGGGCTTCACCATGTTGCACAGGCTGGTCTTGGAACTCCTGAGCTCAAAGTGATCTGCCTGCCTTGGCCTTTGAAAGTGGTGGGATTACAGGCATGAGACACCATGCCTGGCCTTCAAAAAGTTAATCTAAAAATATATATACATATATCCCAGAAGGAGAAGCAGAAGGGTCAGATAGGTGAGAACCAGGGCTTTGAATATCAGAAAAACCAGGAAGAGATAATATGTCAAGTATGGAGTGATCAATACTCTCAAATGCCGTAAGAGGATTTGTGAGCAATTGAGAAAGCCATGGGATTTGTTCATTAGAATGCCACTGTGAGGCTCAACTGATGAATCTCAGTAGGGTGGTGAATGTAAAGGCTAGACTATGGGAGGTTATGGGGCTGGGAGGTTGAGAGAAGGAAAATCATATTTTATACTGTTCCTGAGACATTTAATGAAGGAAAAAAAGGAAACAAAAAAGCAACTTAAAGGTTAAGTCCCACAAATGAATTCTTCAAGTGAACTGAAGAGTAGCAAAACATGCCACTCCAAACATGCCACTTTGGCATATTGATTATTTTGAGATAAAGACAGTGAAAGGAAGGGAAATGGGATACTTCCCTGATTCCCCTTGCAGGACGTGCAACAGAAGTGTAGCTCACCTGTTCAGTTGCCTCACTGCTTAATCCCCTTGTGAGACAGAGAGCATGCAGACAGGCAGGTGCAGAGGCTGGGGTGAGCGCTCTGGGGTCTGGCCCGGCTGTAGTGTCTAGGAGTGGATGCCTGCAGCCCCAGCGTTACAAAGCTTTCAGCTTGGCCGCCCGAAGACAGCTTGAATGTTAACCAGCTTAATGGACCTTTTGCCTTTTCACAAGGGCAGAGGGCCAACATGATAGCTTGCTGTATCCCGAGCTCTTGTTCAGCGTCCTGGAAAAATCAGGTCACACACGGACTCAAAGGATGAATGCGAGGTTTTATTGAGTGGTGGAGGTGGCTTTCAGAGGGATGGATGGAGAGCCAGACGGTGGGTGGATGGAATGGGAAGGTGATCTTCCCCTGGAGTCAGGCCGCCCAGCGGCTGGACTCCTTTCCTACCGCCCCCAGCTGAACTCCTCTTGGCATCCAGACGTCTCTCCTCTTCTCTCTTTCCCTGCTGTGCTGTTCCACCGTCCATCTGCTGGTATCCTCCTCTACTCACCTGCTGCTCTGCTGTGGAGCTTGGGGTTTGCGGTTTACGTGGGGGCAGGATAGAGGGTGTGGAGGGACAAAAGGCAACCTCTTTGTCTTGAAAACAGGAATGCCTGTCCTCATTTAGGGCCGCAGGTCTTCAGGCTTGAAGGTGAGGTCTTTGCCAGGGATCCACCCTCTTCTAACCAGTATTTTCCCTGTCCCCTGTCCGTATCAGAAGCAGATGCAGATACAAGAAAACTTCTCTGCCTGCCCTCCATATTTGCCTAAAAGCAGGACATAATTTTTGTTTGTTTGTTTGTTTTTTGACACAGGGTCTCGCACTGTCACCAGGCTGGAGTGCAGTGGTGTAAACATGGCTCCCTGCAGCCTCAACCTCCTGAGCTCAAGCAATCCTCCCACCTCTGCCTCCCAAAGTGCTAGGATTACAGGCATGAGCCATCACGCCAGCCAGGACACAAATTTTTTTTTTTGAGACAGAGTCTCGCTCTGTCGCCCAGGCTGGAATGCAGGGGCGCAATCTCGGCTCACTGCAAGCTCCACCTCCCAGGTTCACGCCATTCTCCTGCCTCAGCCTCCCACGTAGCTGAGACTACAGGCGCCCGCCACCATGTCCAGCTAATTTTGTTTTTTGTATTTTTAGTAGAGAGGGAGTTTCACTGTGTTAACCAGGATGGTCTCGATCTCCCGACCTCGTGATCCACCCGCCTCGGCCTCCCAAAGTGCTGGGATTACAGGCGTGAGCCACCACGCCTGGTTCACCAGGACAAAAATTTTTAAAGGTGTCTGCCCTTCCCTTTCTACCAGGAAGGACCAAAGTTAATCACTGGAGACAACTGTAGATTCTTATCAGCCCAGAGATGACACCAGAGGAATCTACATTTCAAACTTCATTAACTAGCTCTTACCATCTATTAGTTCCCCCATTTAAACATATTTACTTTCCCACAATTTATCACCCTAGAAACTTAAAGTCGTTTTCCTTTGTATTATCATTTCTCTACAAATGTTCTTTCTTATGAAGCTAGAAAAAACTGAGGCATGGTTTAAACGTCAAATAATTTATCTGAGCCAAATGTGAGTGACTGCAGTCTGAAAACACTTCCAGGTTACCTTGAGAAGTGCTCCAGAAATCAAAAAAGAGACTCGGGCCTTAAAAGAAAAAAAGGATGAATCAGGAAAGGGGCGACTAGAAAAGTTGTTTTTCGCTAGGTCTGGGGCTTTGGGGAGGTGGGTTTCCCATTTGCAAAATGGAACTTTAAAAGTCCACGGCACCTAACATTTCCAAGCTCCTCTAAATCTTCCAGGAAGCACAGGAGATGCAGGGCAGATGGGAGCATTCTCATCCTGCAGATAAACAGGCCTGGGGTCAGCTGGGAGGTTGGAAAGGCAGGCACTAGAATACCAGGTACTGGGTGAGTGAAAGCACAGTGTGACCTGGCAAGGGAAGGGGAGGCGAGAGCAAAGCAGTTGCTGTCTCTCCAGTTTCTCCTTCACTAACCACCTCAGCCCAGGGCCTGGAAAGAAAAAGAACTTAAGGACTTCCACAGGCTGAGACTGGATGCTGAAGGTGGACAGTGGCTCACACACCTTCTTGAAGTCAAGTGGCTCCTCCCCTGCCCACCAGATGCCAAGAGGGTCTGTTGGACCCAGACCTGTGGTGACAGCTACAAGAGAAGGAGGAGACACCAAAGTTGAGTTTGCTTTATAAGTGACATTGCAGGCTGGGCTGCAGTGGGGGGGCAGGATGAAGATTCAGGCTGTACTTTTCAAGGGACCAAGGGCTTGGGATCCACATAGGCCTCCCACACCGTCAGATGTCAGCTCCATCAATACTGAAAGACAATAGGAGATGAGGTAGGGAGGGGGTGAGAACGTGGGGAGAGGGAAGGGAGGTGGTGGGAAAGAGAGGAAGGAAGAGGTGAGGAAAGGCAAGGAGGAAAGGGAAGGGAAAAAAAAGTTGTTTTTCAACTATTATGATCAGTGTGATCGTATCTAAAGCAGTCTTGGAGTCAGGAGACAGGCTGTAATTGTTTAAAAGGTGGCCTGTTCCTGGGGACTTCCCAGCTCAGCAGGAAGCAGTCACAGATGTTTTGGCAGTTGTTTAGCCAGGAAGTTCTCTGCTTAAGACATGCGTGGGGTGGCTGGGCGCCGTGACTCATGCCTGTAATCCTGGCACTTTGGGAGGCAGAGGTAGGGGGATTGCTTGAGCCCAGGAGTTCTAAACCAGCCTGGGCAACGTAGTAGGACCTTGTCTCTATAAATAAATAATTAATTTAATTTTTTTTTTAAAAAGACAGGCCTGAGGTCCAAACCGAAATGGCCTCCCGACTCCATTTTATGTGCTTTGACTAACCCGTCACTGTTTCCCTTCATCATTTTGTTAAGATGCTGGACAAGCCCCAGTTCTAGCCACCCTTTTTAGTTACTCATCACTGAATGCTCCCATGTGTATACAGGCAGCACATGTTAAAAAACTTTTTCGGCCAGGCGCGGTGGCTCACGCCTGTAATCCAGCACTTTGGGAGGCCAAGGCGTGCGGATCACGAGGTCAGGAGATCGAGACCATCCTGGCTAACAAGGTGAAACCCCGTCTCTACTAAAAATACGAAAAAAATTAGCTGGGCGTGGTGGCGGGCGCCTGTAGTCCCAGCTACTTGGGAGGCTGAGGCAGGAGAATGGTGTGAACCCAGAAGGCAGAGCTTGCAGTGAGCTGAGATGGGGCCACTGCACTGCACTCCAGCCTGGGTGACAGAGCAAGACTCCGTCTCAAAAATAAATAAATAAATAAATAAAAATAAACTTTTTCTTGGCCGGGCACGGTGGCTCACGCCTGTAATGCCAACACTTTGGGAGGCCGAGGCGGGCGGATCACCTGAGGTTGGGAGTTCGAGACCAGCCTGACCAACATGGAGAAACCCCATCTCTACTAAAAATACAAAATTAGCTGGTCATGGTGACGCATGCCTGTAGTCCCAGCTACTCGGGAGGCTGAGGCAGGAGAATCACTTGAACCTGAGAGGCGGAGGTTGCGGTGAGCTGAGATGGCACCATTGCACTCCAGCCTGGACAACAAGAGCGAAACTCCGTCTCAAAAAATAATAATAATACAAATAAAAAAATAAAAAATAAATAAAATAAAATAAAAACGTTTTTATCTTGTTAATCTGTCTTTTGTCAATCTAATTTACAGGGCCCAGCCTGTAAATCTAAAATGAGTAGAAGGAAAAAGAATTTTTCCCCTCCTGGGCAGAACACTCTTGGGCACGTGAGCCTTGGCTTCTTAACCACATATCTGAGCAGCCAGTGTGGCAGTGGTGAGTGGCAGTGGAGAGACTCCAGGAAGCAGCCATTTCCCTATCCTGGGTGCTTCCTGTTTCTGTCTAATGCTACACATAGTCCATGGTTTCAGTATGTTGTATGTGTTTGATTGTCAATCCCTGTAATTACATCCTACCTAAAATATGCATTTTTGTTCCCGGAACCAAGCCGGGTCCGGCTGCATTTTCTTGAGGCCCAATAACGAGAAGCAGACAGACTAGGAAAGAAGGGAATTTATTGCTGTAACCAGATACAGGCAGAAGGCTGGAGATAATTCCACCAGGCCAACTCAAAGTGTCAACAATTGTCTTAGTGTTTATATAGGTTGGGGTTATGCGCCTGTGTGCAGTGTAGCATTTGCCTAAGTCTACTGGTAACTAATTTTGTTTCAACTAGAAGGTCAGAGGCAAAAATGCTTTCTAAGTCGGATTAAGCTGTGAGCGGCCCAGTACCTACAAGGCCTGTCTACTGTGGTACCAGAGTGATTATTTCTATCTTATCTGCTTTACAGCTTGGTCTGGAGGGCTGCCTTAGACTCTCCAATGAATCTATTCGAACAGCTGCCTCTGTTACCTTGACTGTCTCAGATTTCGTTGACCCGAGACGGGTCCTGGCACTAGGAATGAAAGACTGTCTCTATTATTTTGGTTTGCTCCAGGTTAGGGAGAAGCCCACGCAAGGCTCCTACTGACCATATGTTTCATTTCTAGCTTTGCTGTCTGGGCACCAATTTCCCTAGGTTTAACTATTTGCTCAATGTTAAGGCAGCTCTGGGGAAATTCGTCTGTGTAACTGGGGTGCTATGCAGGCCTGTCTGTTTGACTGTCATGCAGGTCTGTCTGTGTGATCATCAGGGAGAATCGGCCGGCCACATTTTCAATCTTTCTCCTCTTCTGGAAAAAATAACCACTCAGTCTTTAGCGTCAGCTCACCCTTCAGGGTTTGACACCTGGAGCAGCAGTCAAAGAAGCTGAAAACACGACCTTCCTTTCTAGGTGTTAACTTTAGCCACTGTGGTAGATGGTCCAGAAAGATGACCACTGCTAATTCCTTTCCTCCCTGAATGTGCATACTGTTGCAGCCATCAGAGGCGGAGTCGGTTTCCTTCCCTTGAATTCCGTCTGGTTTTGCGACTTCCCTTGACTAATAAACAGAATGAGGTGGAAGTTAAAGGGAATCACAACCCACCCTATGGTACAATGATTCTTTTAAGACATTCAAGTTATAGATGCAGAAAGAAGCCTCTTCTGAGCTTCCCTTATCTGACTATAGGCAGGGCCTTTGGAGAATGAAGCTGCCATAAATCCCCTCTCTGGGGGAGCTTCCAGCCAGGAAGGAGCCTGACTGTTAGCACCTGGGTGAGAAATTGCATAAACAAACATTATCATAAACTGTAATACCTGCCATTGGTTTCCCTAAAAGCCCATTTGTACTTCCCACAGAAGCTCTAGCTTTCCCGCTCCTTCTGCCTATTAAATTGTTGTTGTAATATACCCTTACCCCTAGCTGTTCAGCAAGCTACTGCTTTCTAATGCTGTCACATGTATGAATATAAAGCATGTTCTTTTTCCCTCTAGTTAAACTGTCTAATGTCAGGAAATTTGCAGGCCCACTTCCTCCCCCCACCACCACTTGAACCTAATTTAGTGATGGAAAGGTTTTATTCCCAGTATAGTTGTGTTTTATGTTCCTGTTCTAGGCTTAAATTTTCAGGGGCCTGGAAGCTTCCATTTTTGTTTCAGGAAGCTAGATGCTATGCTTTGAAGAAGCTCAGCCAAGACAACTGGAAGAGAAGAGACTACATGGAGAGAGAAAGGCCACGTGGAGGACCACTGGGGCTCCACGCATTGAGTGAAGCCTTTTTGGACTTTTGAGCCAGCCAACTAATAAGAAGTAAAACCAACACTGTGGAGTGGCAAACAAAAGAAAATGCATTTTAATCTGGGTCTCAGGAATTGCAATTGGGAGACACAGATCCAGCAAATAGGAAAATCATGTTCCGTCTTGGTGAGATTAGGCAGAGGCTTAGAAGGACTACTGTGAGTTTACACATCTGGAAGGTTTTAGCATAGTTCATAATGGATGATGGCTGGTTAACAATTTAGTACGTCTTTGATGATCAATCTAGTTCAGCATAGCTGTCTCTTGTCGGTAAAAAAAAAAAAAAAAAAAAGCCAATCTCTGCAAAATATTTAAAGAGCTTTATTCTGAGCCCATATGAGTGACCATGGCCCAGGGAACAGTCTAAAAGAGGTCCTGAGAAAGTGTGCCTGAGGTGGTTGAATTACAGCTTGGTTTTATACATTGTAGGGAGACAGAAGTTATAGGCAAAGACAAATCAATACATCTAAGGTATACATTGGTTTGGCCAGGAAAGGCGGGACAGCTTAAGGAAGGAGCAATACAGGTCATAGGTGGATTCAAAGATTTTCTGATTTGGAATTGGTCAAAAGAGTTAAGCTGAAGACTTAAAGTCAGGCCGGGCGTGGTGGCTCACGCCTATAATCCCAGCACTTTGGGAGGCCGAGGCGGGCGGATCACAAGGTCAGGAGATCGAGACCATCCTGGCTAACATGGTGAAACCCGTCTCTACTAAAAATACAAAAAAAAAAAAATTAGCCAGGCGTGGTGGTGGACACCTGTAGTCCCAGCTACTCGGGAGGCTGAGGCAGGAGAATGGCGTGAACCCAGGAGGCAGAGCTTGCAGTGAACCAAGATTGCACCACTGCACTCCAGCCTGGGTGACAGAGCGACACTCCATCTCAAAAAAAAAAAAAAAAAAAAAAAGACAAAGTCAGTAGAAAGAAATGCTTGGGTTGAGATAAGGGGGGGTGGGCTGTGATTCTTGTTATATAGATGAAGCCTCAGATAGCAGGCTTCAGAGAGAATAGATGGTAAACGTCTCTTTTGGAATTTCACAGGTGTCAGACTCTTAGTTAATCTCTGCTAGATCTGGGAAAAGCCTAGCTGCATTAATAAAGATCCTCTACAGATGCAAAATTTCTTTCTCAAAAGATGGCTTCTCAGGACCATTTCAAAATATGCCAAAGAAATATATTTTGAGGTAAAATATTTTAATTTTCTTCAAGGTCTGTTATCTGTCATGTGATATTATACCAGTTGGAATTTGGTATCTTCTTACCAAAGAGTCTGTTTTTGTCAGTCTTATGATCTCTATTTTAATATTAATGCTGGTCTGTTATACCTAAACTTTAAAAGGGAGAGAGTATAATGAGGTACGTCCAACCCTTCCTTCCCATCATGGCCTGGAATTTAGTTTTTCAGCTTGCTCTGGGGTCCCCTCGGCCTAGACAGCTGTCTGTTCAGTTGGTTGGGGGCTTAGGATATAATTTTTGGTTTACACTCTTCAGGTTGATGATCAGGCAAAGCATAAACAGTTCAAATCAAATGCAGCTGGTTTTACAATTTGGCCCAGTTACAGTCAGATTTCATCTGAGGGTCCAACTCTTCATGCCTTCTCAACTCAACTGTTAGATACCTCCAACAAAACCATCAACCATCTCCATTGTGGATTTTCTTGTCAGAACCCCAGCCCATCGTCTCACTGAAGCCATCCTAGTGAGTGACCATGGCTGTCACCACATGAACTAAAAGAACCATCAAGCCAAGCCCTGTCTAGTGTCCAGACCTACAGAAACAGGAGCAGTTTGGAGTGGTTTATTATCTAGCAATAGATAACTGAAGTAGCTACAAAGATAACTTTAGCATGATTTCCAGGCAAAGTGCTCTCTCCTCAGAATTTGTAAGATTCCTCCAAAGAGCAGCTGTAGAGCTGTTAAGTATCCAATCCAAACAGATGGGAGAAAAGATAAAGCTCTTGACAAGCTGCTGTGGAAAATACCAATTCATGTTATCTCTGCCTTCCTGGGAACTTGCAAATGAACCAGCCCTCAAATGCAGCTCTGGATATGACAAACCATCCCAGATGGACCCCTAAAGTTCCCCAATAGCTTTGTATCTTTCAAAACCACATAAATCTTAGAATCTACAGTTTAGGTTTTTGTTTGTTTGTTTGTTTTAGACAGAGTTTTGCTCTTGTTGCCCAGGCTGGAGTGCAATGACGTGATCTCGGCTCACTGCAAGCTCTGCCTCCTGGGTTCAAGTGATTCTCCTGCCTCAACGTTCCAAGTAGCTGGGATTACAGGCACGTGCCACCAGGCCCAGCTAATTTTTTGTATTTTTAGTAGAGACAGGGTTTCACCATGTTGGCCAGGCTGGTCTCAAACTCCTGACCTCAGGTGATCCATCTGCCTTGGCCTCCCAAAATGCTGGGATTACAGGTGTGAGCCACTGCTCTTGGCCCAGTTTAGGGTTTATAGTGTGCCAAACTACGAGATCCCTTCCAGTTCTGCTTATCTTAATGTAAAAGGACATTAAATATAAATAATATAAATTATATAATTAATGACAATTAAAATTATTTTTAAGTTAATTGTTTTTGTTTTTGTTTGAGACTGAGTCTCACTCTATCGCCCAGGCTGGAGTGCAGTGGCACGATCTCGGCTCACTGTAACCTCTGCCTCCTGGGTTCAAGCAATTCTCCTGCCTCAGCCTCCCGAGTAGCTGGGATTACAAGCGAGTGCCACCATGCCTGGCTAATTTTTATATTTTTAGTAGAGGCCGGGTTTCACCGTGTTGGCCAGGCTGGTCTTGAACCTCTGACCTTAGGTGATCCACCCACCTCGGCCTCCCAAAGTTCTGGGATTACAGGCATGCACCACCGTGCCCGGCCTGCTAATTGGTTTTTTAACTAAAGAAATAATTTATGGAGAATCAAACATAAAAAGGTATAAGACAAAAAGAAAAAGTCAAATGGTGTCAAAGAATGGTGTCCCAGACTCCCAAGCAGGAATCCTTGCAGAAATTTTCCATGTTTATACAATAACCACCATAAACATTGAACATTTACTACGTGTCAAGTACTCTCCTAAACACTTTATATGCATTAATTCAGCAGAAAGCAAATTTTTTATGTTAAAGTTACATAGCAAATATTTTAGGCTTTGTAGAGCACTTGGTCTCCGTTGCAACTAATCAACACTTTGTTGTAGTAAGAAAGCAGCTATAGGGAGTATGTAAACTAACGGATGCAGCTATGTTCCAATAAAACTTTATTTAAAAAAACAAGCTATAGCGCCAGGCGCAGTGGCTCACGCCAGTAATCCTAGCACTTTGGGAGGCCAAGGCAGGCAGATCACGAGGTCAGGAGATCGAGACCATCCTGGCCAACATGGTGAAATCCCATCTCTACTAAAAATACAAAAATTAACTGGGCATGGTGGTGCGTGCCTGAAGTCCCAGCTACTTGGGAGGCTGAGACAGGAAAATCACTTGAACCCAGGAGGCGGAGGTTACAGTGAGCTGACATTGGGCCACTGCACTCCAGCCTGGTGACAGAGCGAGACCCCATCTCAAAAAAAAGCAAACAAGCAACAGCCAGATTTGGCCTATGGCTATTAGTTTGCTAACTCCTGAATTATACTCATGTAATAGTCAAAAAAACCTTATGAGGATTATTATCATAACACCATTTTACAGATAAGGAACCAGGGATAGATACAAAAACAGAGAACTCAAGTAAATTGCCCAACAAGTTATCAAGTAGTGAAACTGAGATGTAATCCCAGGCTGTCTAGCTCCAGAGTGTTTTTTAGACACTATTTTTTAAAGCACACAT
This sequence comes from Homo sapiens, assembly GCF_000001405.40. Lineage (NCBI taxonomy): Eukaryota > Metazoa > Chordata > Mammalia > Primates > Hominidae > Homo > Homo sapiens. Next base: position 31,882,449 of record NC_000012.12, read on the forward strand.
GTATGCATGTATGTCTTTAAAATTTTTATTTTATTTATTTATTTTTTGAGATAGGGTCTCACTCTGTTGCCCCAGCTGGAGTACAGTGGCATGAACACAGCACACTGCAACCTCGACCTCCCAGACTCAAGCGATCCTCCTCTCTCAGCCTCCTAAGCAGCTAAGACCACAAACATGCACCACCATGCCTTGCTAATTTTTTAAATTTTGTAGAGCCAGGTCTTGACCTGTTGCCCAGGCTGGTCTTGAACTCCTGGTGAGAGCTGAAGCCAGCTGGACTTCCTGGGTTGAGTGGGGCCTTGGAGAACTTTTCTGTCTAGCTAGGGGATTGTAAACGCACCAATCAGCGCTCTGTGTCTAGCTAAAGGATTGTAAATGCACCAATCAGCACTCTGTAAAAACATACCAATCAGTACTCTGTGTCTAGCTAACGGATTGTAAATGCACCAATCAGCACTCTGTAAAAATGTACCAATCAGCGCTCTGTGTCTAGCTAAAGGATTGTAAACGCACCAATCAGCACTCGGTAAAATGGACCAATCAGTGCTCTGTAAAATGGACCAATCAGCAGGATGTGGGTGGGGCCAAATAAGGGAATAAAAGCTGGCCACCCCCCCAGCCAGCAGTGGCAACCCACTCAGGTCACCTTCCATGCTGTGGAAGCTTTTTTCTTTTGCTCTTTACAATAAATCTTGCTGCTGCTGACTCTTTGGGTCTGCACCACCTTTAAGAGCTGTAACACCATGAAGGTTGGCAGCTTCATTCTTGAAGTCAGCAAGACCATGAACTCACTGGAAGGTAGAAACTCTGGACATATCTGAAGGAACAAACTCCTGACACACCATCTTTAAGAGCTGTAACACTCACCACGAAGGTCTGCAGCTTCATTCTTGAACTCAGTGAGACCAAGAACCCACCAGAAGGAACCAATTCTGGACATGCTGGCATCAAGTCATCTGCTCACCTTGGCCTCCCAAAGTGCTGGGATTAGAGATGTGAGCCACTGCGCCTGGCTGTGCTGTTTTGTTTTGTTTGTTGTTGTTTTTTAATTTGAGATGGCGTCTCGCTCTGTCACCCAGGCTGTAGTACAGTGGCGCAATCTCAGCTCCCTGCAACCTCTGCCTCCTGGGTTGAAGCGATTCTCCTGCCTCGGCCTCCCGAGTAGCTGGGACTACAGGCTCATGCCACCATGCCCAGCTAATTTTTTGTATTTTTAGTAGAGACAGGGTTTCACCATGTTAGCCCGGATGGTCTCAAATCTCCTCACCTCCTTACCTCAAGATCTGCCCACCTCAGCCTCCCAAAGTGCTGGGATTACAGGCGTGAGCCACCACGCCCGGCCTATGTGTATTTTTTTTTTTTTAACTCATACTGTACATGCTGTTTGGCATCTTGCTTTTCTCACTTAACAATATCTTGCCTATCTTTCCACGTATATAAATCTACCTCGTTCCTTTAATTTGCTGTATAGTATTCCATTGTATGAATCACCAATCAATAAATACCTAGATTGTTTCTGTGCATTTTCCCTTAAAAGCAATGCTTCACTGAGTATCCTTGTGCTGAGGTATTTGCCTGCAGACGCTCACACAGCTAAGAATGAAGGAAAAATTATTATAAATAAAATGGTTGGACCAGGTGAGGTGGCTCACACCTATAATCCCCACACTTTGGGAAGCTGAAACGGGAGGATCACTTGTGGCTAGAAGTTCGAGGCCAGCCTAGGCAGCAAAGTGAGACCTCATCTGTACAAAAAATAAAATTAGGCCGGGCGCAGTGGCTCACGCCTGCAATCCCAGCATTTTGGGAGGCCGAGGTGGGCGGATCATGAGATCAGGAGATCGAGACCGTCCTGGCTAACACAGTGAAACCCCATCTCTACTAAAAACAATACACAAAAATTAGCCGGGCGTGGTGGCGGGCGCCTGTAGTCCCAGCTACTTGGGAGGCTGAGGCAGGAGAATGGTGTGAACCTGGGAGTCGGAGCTTGCAGTAAGCCGAGATCACGCCACTGCACTCCAGTCTGGGTGACAGAGCGAGACTCCGTCTCACAAAAAAAAAACAAAAAAAAAACCCAAAATACAAAATTAGCCGAGTGTGGTGGCACAGGCCTGTAATCCCAACTACTCAGGAGGCTGAGGCAGGAGAATCGTTTGAACCCAGTAGGTGGTGGTTGTGGTGAGCCAAGATGGCGCCATTACACTCCAGCCTGGGCAACAAGAATGAAACAGTGTCCCCCACTCAAAAAAAAAAAAAAAAGATCAGCAACAAGATAAAACCACCAAGGGCTAGAGGGACAAATTGAGGAGCCGGTGTGACCAGAGGCTAGAAGCTGGGTGGGAAGGGCTGTCCTGCCTGGTGGGAGCTGGGTCATATATGAGACAGATGCAGCCGCTGCTGGGAAGACCCCCAGATGCAGAAAGGGGAAAGAAATATGCTGGCTCTCCCATTCAATTATTCACCCTTCAGTCTCCTGCCAGCACTTTCCATTGGCTGATTCTAAATAAAAGCCAGTTAGCAAAGGGGCTTAGGAACTGTAGTTTGCAGGGCTCAGCCTCTGTGGGACAGAGCAGAGCAGAAGGGTAGGGAATGGGTTGGAAAGCAAACAGGAAATGACTGATGTAAAGAATATTGTGTTTTACATTTTGAAATACTATGCAGCCATAAAAAAGAATGAGTTCAATGTCCTTTGCAGGGACATGGATGAAGCTGGAAACCATCATTCTCAGCGAACTAACACAGGAACGGAAAACTAAACACCGCATATTCTCACTCATAAGTGGGAGTTGAACAATGAGAACACAAGAACACAGGGAGGGGAACATCACACCCTGGAGCCTGTCAGGGGGTGGGGGGCAAGGGGAAGGAGAGCATTAGGACAAATACCTAATGCATGCGGGGCTTAAAACCTAGATGACGGGTTGTTGGGTGCAGCAAACCACCATGGCACATGTATACCTATGTAACAAACCTGCACGTTCAGCACATGTATCCCAGAACTTAAAGTATAAAAAAAAAAAATGCCAAATTGCCCACCAATGCAGCTACAAAGATTTATAGTTCCAAGTATGTCTATTTTCCAGCAAATTCCCCAGCACCATGGAGATTTATCCATCTAAGTTAAAATGGTTTTCTGCTATTTTAATTTGCATTTCCTTAATTATGAATGCAGTTGAACATCTTCTCATTTGTTTATATGCCATATTTATTTTGTTTAGTATTTAATGCATGCTATTTAATATTTATTTTTATTTTAACAGTAGGTTTATATCTTTTGCCAATTTTCTTTTTAAAAAAACTTTTTTCCCAAATTCAAACGAGTGTCAGTAGAATGCCAATTTTCCTATTAAGTTGTTGGACTTATTACTTGTAAGAAATATATGTGCCAATCTTAAGTGTTGCAAATATTTTTCCCCAGAATGCTCTTTGCTTTTTAACATTTTAGTCACATGTTTTACTATGCTGTTTTTAATTTTTATGTAGCCAAACATAAATCTTTTTCTTCTTCTATATCCTCTGGATTAAAGATTTTGTCTTTTGCTTAAAAAGGCCTTTTCCTCAAGATTATACAAATATTGGAATGGAGGAATATTTTTAAATTTTCTTCTGTGTTTTCTCTGCTCTAGACAAAGACTAGCCCTTTGGGTCTCTTTATTCTCCCAGGTTAAAAGCTGTTTGGTTTGAGAATATTCTCTTGTACATCCTGCATTCTGTCCTCATTAATCTCCAAAGGAATTTCTTAATTAACGAGAGAAACCCTTTTTCTCTCATCTGAGATATACAATGTAGTTAGCTTGGAAACTCTGACAAGCCTCCTTTTCTATCTCTGAGCATCTCCTCTGCCTTGTCAACTCTTGTACGCTATCAACTAGTCTAAGTTTCTATTCCAGGATGTGGATTGTAATGAAGAAGGCCTTGAATTAAAAGGGACTTGGAGACAATATTGAAATATGACTAGAGGCTCAGTTCTCCAATATATGCAAAAGTTTTCTTCTCTGCAGTAGAGATGGTGCCTACAATGATTTCACAATTCTAGCCGGTACTATGAGGTTCATAAAAACATGGTCCACAAATTCAGGAACCATGTGTGTTTGTGTTTAACTGCTGTATTCCTGGCATTTTGCATGGTACATGGTATGGCAATGATCCTCAAAAAATATTTACTGATTTGAAGATTCTTTAAGTCAGAATGATTTGTATCTTCTCCAGCATATCTGGATCCTAAGGGGTGATGCCAACAAGAGTCCTGGAGAAAAGTGTTTCTGTTATAACGTGGCATGGTTAGGGCCTGAAGTATACATTTGCTTATATTTGCTGTATACCTTTGTGCTTTGCTCTCTTAATGATCCCCCAAAAGCTCCTTTCCCGCCTTCCCCAGGCCACAATGTTGCAGAAAAAAAGTTCAAGAATTGCTAACTTGACTGTGACTTGAAATGATTAAAATGCATGCTTAGAAACCAGTTTCTTAAACCAGTTTCTTAATTCACAAAGACTAGATAAAATCACAGCTGGGAATAGGAAGGAGATAGAAGAACAAGCAGCTTGATTGCAGGGGAAAGTGAAAGGAAATAGAGACTTAAAGGAAGAAGAAAGGAGAAAAAGATCTTCCATCATGAAGGCTGAATGATAGGGGAAATTTTTCACACACCCCTATAAACAAACACAGAATCTGAGGACAATCCACATCCCACCTTTGTAGACATTTAAAGTCACCCTACCTTGATGAGGAGGAACTCAGATGCCTTGAGTTGAAAATGGCCCAACTGTCTGATAGAACTGGTATTTGTGGTTTCTTTTGAATAAAAGAAAGAAACTGAAAGAAAACTGACCCTCCCAGTCTTAAAACTTGAGAAAGTTACATTTGTCTTAATCTGAGTTCCTTCCTCATGAAGCCAACCATCAGGCCTCCCAGATATTATCAAGGAACTGAAACTTACCAGATCACTGCATCTGGACAATGAGGAGCCAGACCCCTCACCCATCATGATTGCCTAAGCAACCACCTGCTTCTTGTTGACCAACTCCTCCCCTTTACCCCTCCCTAATTCTTGTTTTCCCAAAAATGGTTACATTTCTTTTCTGTTATACAAACCCTTAATTTTAATCAGTCAGGGAGATGGATTTGGGACTGATCTAGAACTCATCTCCCATCTCCTCAGCTGCAGCACCCAACTAAAGCCTTCTTCCCTGGCAATACCCATTGTCTCAGTGATCAAGCAGCAGTACCTAGACAGAACCCCTGGCATTTCGGTAACAGGGCGAATAAATGGATGTGCAAGGAAAACCTCTTCATCTTAAATAAAGGGCAGATGAACACTAAGCCTTAGGATGGTGCCAATGAACACATGTTGGGTTGTTTCCACTTTTTGACTATTATGAATAATGCTGTTATGAACATTGTATACAAGTAGAGGAAGGAGTCTAAAGGCCCAGGGAAACAAGAATGATGCATGAATCTGTTATGAACAGCCTGCCCTGCCACTCTGAAAGACAGTCATCCCTGGAAGAGCCTGGAGGACGTCCCCTATACCCAGGCATTACAGATGCAACAGTAAGGAGACTTGAGCATTCTTATAAAACTGTGTTGCAGCTGTTCTTTGCCAGCAGGAGATGGTGGCAAAGGATGTTGCCATGGAATTGAATTTCCTGATCTCAGCTGGAATAAAGGATCCAGGAGTGGTAGAGGCCAGTTGCAATCCTTAGCTTGCAGTGACAAGGTGTCTTAGTCAGTTTGGGTTTAGTCAGTCAGAATACCATAGATGGGTACTTAAACAACGAACATTTATTGCTCAAGTTCTGGAGACTGGAAGTCCTGAGATTAGGGTGCCAGCATGGCTGGTTTGCAGTAAAGGCTTGCCTCCTGGTTCACAGATGGCTGTCTTCTCACATGGCAAAGAGAGTGAGAGCTCTTCTCTTTCTCTTCTCTAAGGACACTAATCCTATAGCAGGAGCTCCACCCTCATGAGCTCATCTATACCTAATTATTTCCCAAAGACCCCACTTCCTAATACCATCCCATTGGCGGTTAGGGTTTCAACTTACGGATTTTGGGGGAACACAAATTGCATAACACAAGGTGAGTACAATTACCAGAGTAACCCACAGGGATGAAGTGTGTACGATCACAGGGTATGAACTTTCGGGATATGTAACATCGTGTAATCAGTCATAAGACTGTAGGAATTAAATACAAGGGCAGCCCAAAGTACTTCTTCACATATCCAGGCAATGATTCTAGGTCTAGTGGGCAGAAACCTAGTTTAAGTCACTGTAGTGGGAATTCACACACTCTTAGCCAGTTTCTCAAACTAAGCTAGTTCAGACTTGGAGCCCGAAAGCACACTGCAATGTGACCACAGGTGTGTTTTGTGGATCTTCAGTAAAACATTCCCCAGAAATAAGTAGGGCCATTTCCCAGTGTGACTATAAACTGGAGACAGGTAAATATTTTTTTTGGTGGAGGGGGGGGCTAATTGATTTTGGCTCTGAACTGATGCTAATCCATGGAGACACAAAATAAAGTAAGATGAAATGAAACAAACGCAACAACAACAAATCCAGCATAGTCCACCACTCAGAGTAGAAGTTTACAGAACCCAGGTGATAGATGGAACCTTGACCAGAGTCAGTTTCCCAGTGTGTCCAATGGCGTGATGGAGCCATTCAGTGGTTACTTCTCTAGTCTCAGAATGAACGGTGGGAAAAGGTATATTTAGCAACTGTTCTTTGATTGATGAAGCGAGGGAGGGCTATTATATTAAGAACATTCAAGTGAAAGCCTCTGAAAATCCTCAGATCACCAAAATAGTGTTCCCAAAGTAACTCTGCAATCTGGGGGAAATTCAGTGGCGACAGTTGTGCAACGGTGAGTGTACGTAATGCCACCGAATGTTACACTTAAAAACGGTTAAAAAAGGCCGGGCACGGTGGCTCACGCCTGTAATCCCAGCACTTTGGGAGGCTGAGGCGGGCGGATCACGAGGTCAGGAGATCGAGACCTTCCTGGCTAACACAGTGAAACCCCGTCTCTATTAAAAATACAAAAAATTGGCTGGGCGCGGTGGCTCACGCCTGTAATCCCAGCACTTTGGGAGGCCAAGACGGGTGGATCACGAGGTCAAGAGTTCGAGACCATCCTGGCTAACACGGTGAAACCCCGTCTCTACTAAAAATACAAAAACAAAAGTAGCCGGGCATGGTGGTGGGCGCCTGTAGTCCCAGCTACTCAGGAGGCTGAGGCAGGATAATGGCGTGAACCCAGGAGGCGGAGCTTGCAGTGACTGAGATCGCGCCACTGCACTCCAGCCTGGGCGACAGAGGGAGACTCTGTCTCAAAAAAAAAAAAATTAGCCGGGCGTGGTGGCGGGCGCCTGTAGTCCCAGCTACTCGGGAGGCTGAGGCAGGAGAATGGTGAGAACCGGGGAGGCAGGGCTTGCAGAGAGCTGAGATCGTGCCACTGCACTCCAGCGTGGGCAACAAAGCAAGACTCTGTCTCAAAAAAAAAAAAAAAAAGTTAAAATGTTAAATTTTATGTAATATATACTTTGTCACAATAAAAAAGTAAATGATCATAAACAGCTCTATTGTTTTAACTTGTACATATCGTGTTTCTTTCATTTTAAAGTAGAAACAGTAGCTATTTAAAATCAAAAGATAATTTCAAACATTGCTTGTTGTCATTGAATTCAAGAAGAAAACTTTAAAAAAGAAAAACCACACAAAACTAAAAATAATAAGGCCAGGCGTTGGTGGTTCACACCTGTAATCCTAGCACTTTGGAAGGCCAAGGCAGGTGGATCACCTGAGGTCAGGAGTTCAAGACCAACCCGGCCAACACAGCAAAACCTGGTCTCTAGTAAAAATACAAAAATTAGCCGGGCATGGTGGTGCACACCTGTAATCCCAGCTACTCAGGAGGCTGAGGTGGGAAAATTACTTGAAACCGGGAGGCGGAGTTTGCAGTGAGCAGAGATTGTGACACTGAACTCCAGCCTGGGTGACAGAGCAAGACTCCCTCTTGAAAAAAATAAATAAATAAATAAGTAAAATAAATAAATAATAAAGTGTACTCCATATGTATTCAATTTGTTTTATTTTTGTTTGTATGAACATATACAACACAAATTTAAAATATATAAGTAATTAATTGTGGAAAATGGGATCTATCGTGAGGATAAAGCAAAGTTATGCAACAAGATGAAGCAACAAAAAGTGATTTTTGAGGATGATTGCAAATTATCTTAAGTAATTTAGAAAGTTCACAATTTCCTGAGCTTTAACAGCATTAACAGGAAGCATTAAGAACAAGGATGTGGTTAGGTGTCTATTGGTTTGTCAGAAAGACATGTAACATGAAAACCACTGACATTAAGAGACAGGTAGCAGCTTTAATAATTTACCAGCCTTGTATTTCTTCACATTCTTGTTTCAGAGATAGTTTGAAAACAGTCCAAAAGGAAGATAATTCCAAATTCCTGAGGATTTTCCCCAAGTGTTGAGTGTACTATATAAAGTGATAACAGAGGATTATGTGGATGCATAACCCAGTGGCAACGAATTCCATTTTGGCCGTGAACTACTGAACAGATTCACTGAATGTGTTCATTTGCTGAACAAATCTTATTTCAGCAAATGACAAAATAAGATTTGTTCAGCACATCTCATGTGAGTGCTCACATAGCGTGGGCTCTGTGGTCAGACAAACACTAGGCACTTCTCTTGGTGTTATCACCTTAAGCTGTGTGCCTTGGGGAAAGTTACTCAATTTCTCATTCCCTCCATTTCCTCGTGCACAAAATGGCAGAAAATAAAGGTGTTGTGATGATTAAATGAGATACTGTATACAATATTCTCAGTACAATGCCCAGCACATGGTGAGCCTTCAAGAAATGCTATCTACTAGTCCTACGTGCAATGCACTGTGGAGAGGGCTAAAAATGACATGTGTGGCACGAGTTGCAGTTTAATCCTGTGCTCCACTTACTCTAAGATTCAGGTATGTGTTGCACTAGTTGGACTAGTGGCCAGGGGTCAGAGGAAAATAAGAACCTCCCGAAAATGTCTTCCCTTATTCTAGAGGAAGACAGAGTTAAGAAGAAAAGCTTTAGCTCAAGGAAAGGGCATTAGAGTTAAAATGGAGGGAAAAAATATCTACTAATCAGAATATTCTACTGGCCACAGTCTCTGACCTTCTGGCAATTAAAATTTTAAAGTTAAAGATTACTTAAAATTGGCTGGGTGTGGTGGCTCACGCCTGTAATCCCAGCACTTTGTGAGGCCGAGGTGGGTGGATCACAAGGTCAGGAGTTCGAGACCAGCCTGACCAACATGGTGAAACCCCGTCTCTACTAAAAATACAAAAATTAACCAAGCGTGGTGGTGGGCATCTGTAATCCCAGCTACTCGGGAGGCTGAGGCAGGAGAATCTCTTGAAATCAGAAGGCGGAGGTTGCAGTGAGCCGAGATCATGCCACTACACTCCAGCCTGGGCAACAAGAGCAAAACTCTGTCTCAAAAAAAAAAAAAAAAAGATTACTTAAAATTTACTTGGAAACTTAAAAGTGCACCATTAAGTAACTCCTGGGACCAAGCAGATGTCATGAGAAAAATTAAGAAATATTTGCCACTTCATCAGTTATAAGACAAAAAAAATTTTTTTTTAAATTTTAAGACATACTTAAATTGAGTGATAATGAATGATATGGTTGGGTCTGTGTCCCTGCCCAAATCTCATGACAAATTGTAATCCCCAATGTTGGAGGCGGGGTCTGGTGGGAAATGATTGGATCTTGTACGCAAATTTCCCCTTTGGTGCTGTTCTCGTGATAGTGAGTGGATTATCAGGAGATCTGGTTGTTTAAAAGTGTGTAGCACCTCCCCACTCTCTCTATTCCTCGTGCTCTGGCCCTGTAAGACGTGCCTGCTTCTCTTTTGTCTTTCACCATGATTGAAAGTTTCCTGAGGCCTCCCCAGCATGCTTCCTGTACAGCCTGTGGAACCGTGAGCCAATTAAGCCTCTTTTATTTAAAAATTACCCAGTTTCCAGTGGCACACACCTGTAATCCCAGAACTTTGGGAAGCTGAGGTGGGTGGATCACCTGAGGTCAGGAGTTCAAGGCCAGCCTGACCAACATGGAAAAACCCCGTCTCTACTAAAAATACAAAATTAGCCAGGCATAGTGGCGCATGCCTGTAATCCCAGCTACTTGGGATGCTGAGGCAGGAGAATTGTTTGAACTCTGGAGGCAGAGGTTGTGGTGAGCCAAGATCGTGCCACTGCACTCCAGCCTGGTCAACAAGAGCAAAACTCCGTTTCAAAAAAAAAAAAAAAGAAAAATTACCCAGTTTCAGGTATTTCTTTATAGTAGTGCAAGAATGGACTAATACAATGAAAACACCAAACATCAGGCTGGGTGTGGTGGCTCATGCTTGCAATCTCAGCACTTTGGGAGCCTGAGGTGGGAGGATCACTTGAGGCCAGGAGTTCAAGACCAGCCTGGGCAATATAGTGAGACCCAATTGCTACAAAAAAAATTAAAATTAGCTGGGTGTGGTGGCAAGCACTTGTATTCTCAGCTACTTGGGAGGTTGAGGCAGGCAGGAGGAGCACTTGAGCCCATGAATTTGAGATTGCAGTGAGTATGATAGTACCACTGCACTCCAGCCTGGGCAACACAGCAAGACCCTGTCTCAAAAAAAAGACAGTTCTAAAAAATGAACATAAGGTATAAACACCAACATTCAACATGTACACACACACACACACACACACACACACACACACACGCAGTTGGCCCTCTGTATTTGTGGGTTCCACATCTGGGGATTCAACCAACCACAGATAAAAAATATTTGGAAACTAAAAATTCCACCCTGCGCTTCTGGACCTCAGCACCAGCCCCAGGGCTGCTCTAGGGGCCACATGGCTGAAGGGAGCGCAAGGAGCTACCAGAGGCAGAATGAAGAGACTGAAGCAATGACAGCCACTTATTTTGAGGAATTACGTGTCATTGATGACTATGCCAAAACATTTTGTATTAGAATTAGTGATGATATTGATTACCCCAAATGGACACTTTGCTCATAGGTGATGCTACTGAATTAATATACAGGTACAGCTCCACCTACTTATTAGTAGGTAAGACTCTTGGCTTAAAGGACAAGAATGTGCAGATTTATCAAATGGGCTTGAGAAAATACAATTCAGAATATTGGTGAAAGTATTCTTTACCTGTGGGTGGAGAAAATAAGAGATGCTCGGCCACGCGCAGTGGCTCATGCCTGTAATCCCAGCACTTTGGGAGGCCGAGGTGGACGGATCACGAGGTCAGGAGATAGAGACCATCCTGGATAAGATGGTGAAACCCCATCTCTACTAAAAATACAAAAAATTAGCCAGGCGTGGTGGCACGCACTTGTAATCCCAGCTACTCAGGAGGCTGAGGCAGGAGAATCGCTTGAACCCGGGAGGCAGAAGTTGCAGTGAGCAGAGATCGAGCCGCTGCACTCCAGCCTGGGCAACAGAGGGAGAAAAAAAAAAAAAAAACAACTCTAGGGGAATGGAAATACCTGATTTCCATTCCATTTCATTGAGACACTCACACTGTTAAAGGAATATTGCCTTTTTTTTCTTTTTTCTTTTTTGATTATATAAATAGAGATGCGTCTCATTATGTTGCCCAGGCTGGTCTTAAATACTGGGACTCAAGTGATCCTCCCACCTCAGCCTCACAAAGTGTTGGGATTACAGGCATGAGCCTTTGTGCCTGACCCATTTTTTGTTTTGTTTTGTTTTGAGACAGAATCTTGCTCTGTTACCTAGGCTGGAGTGTAGTGGCGCGATCTCAGCTCACTGCAACCTCTGCCTCCTGGGTTCAAGCAATTCTCCTGCCTCAGCCTCCCAGGTAGCTGGGACTACAGATGCCTGCCACCACATCTGGTTAATTTTTTGTATTTTTAGTAGAGATGGCATTTCACCATTTTGCCCAGGCTGGTCTTGAACTCCTGACCTCAGGTGGTCCACCTGCCTCCAGCCTCCCAAAGCACTGAGATTACAGGCATGAGCCACCGTGCCTGGCCCTGTCTGGCCTTTTTACTGCTTTTTATGGCTTATTGAAATAGCTTGTATTAGTCCTTTCTCATACTACTCTCATACTAAGAACACATCCAAGACTGGGTAATTTAGAAAGGAAAGAAGTTTAACTGACTCACAGTTCAGCATGGCTGAGGAGGCCTTAGGAAACTGATGATCATGGTGGAAAGGGAAGCAAACATGTTCTTCTTCACAGGGCAGCAGGAAGGAGAATGAGGGTCAAGTGAAGCAGCAAGCTCCTTATAAAACTATCAAATCTCGTGAGAACTTACTATCACAACAATAGCATGGGAGAAACTGCCACCATGATTCAATTACATCCCACCGGGTCCCTTACACAACATGTGGGGACTATGGGAACTAAAATTCAAGATGAGATTTGGGTGCAGCCACAGCCAAACCCTATAATTCTGCCCCTGGCCCCTCTCAAATCTCCTGTCTTCACATTTCTTTTTTCTTTTTTTTTTTTTTTTTTTTTTTTTTTGAGATAGAGTCTCACTCTGTCACCAGGCTGGATTGCAGTGGCACAAGCTTGGCTCACTGCAACCTCCACCTCCTGGGTTCTAGCCATTCTCCTGCCTCAGCCTCTGCAGTAACTGGGACTACAGGCGCATGCCACCACACATGGCTAATTATTGTATTTTTAGTAGAGACGGGGTTTCACCATGTTGGCCAGGATGGTCTCGAACTCCTGACCTCAGGTGATCTGCCTGCCTCAGCCTCCCGAATGCTGGGATTACAGGCATGAGCCACACTGCACCTGGCCGATGATAAACCTTTGAAAGCTAAAAAGCAAAGAGATGATTGCAGACTAACTCAGAAGAACTGAGAAAGCTGAATTATGTGGCAACAGTAGAGAAAAATTGAAAACAGAAATGATTATATTGTAGAATCACAAACAGACCCAGATCTTCTACCTGCTCTCATGCTGCTGGATGACTGTTTCTCCCTAGTTTCAGCAGAAGTTGGAGTCTGTGGACTGGGAAACATCAAGTACAGCTGAGAGCTTTGATACCAAACAAAAATGGAGGTTTACACAATCACATGCTTGCTGATTGCTAAGCCCCTGCCTCCTGCCTCACAGCCTTCATCAATCATTTAGTGCCCAAACCATGTCAGCCAGATCTTTACCCTCTAGGAAGGGGATTGTCACACCTTTCTCTCAGGAATCAAAGCAGCCCAAGAGGAAAGAAGAGAAACTGATAAGATTACCCAACAAATAAATGGCCCTACAGTAAACTCAGAAATACAAGAGCTCTCCATATACTGCAAACTTCCAATCAGCTGTAGTCCTTCATTCCTCATCGTAAGAAACCAAAAATTACCAGAACTCTAAAGTAAGCCTCTATCATGCAAGACAAAAAGCACACAAGCAGGGAAAGCACCTTGGAGAAACAGAATACTATGTGGATGAAAGAAAACTAACTCATGTTCAGTCAAAGCTTCTCATAAAAGACCAGGTGCCGGTTGGGCGCGGTGGCTCCCTCACTCACTTTGGGAGGCCGAGGGAGGTGTATCACAAGGTCAAGAGATCGAGACCATCCTGGCTAACATGGTAAAACCCCATCTCTACTGAAAATACAAAAATTAGCTGGGCATGGTGGCGGTCGCCTGTAGTCCCAGCTACTCAGGAGGCTGAGGCAGGAGAATCACTTGAACTCAGGGGGTGCAGGTTACAGTGAGCCGAGAGCGCCACTGCATTCCAGCCTGGGTGACAGAGCGAGACTCCATCTCAAAAAAATAAATAAATAAAAGACCAGGCCCGGTGGCTTACACCTGTAATCCTAGCACTTTAGGAGGCTGAGGCGGGCGGATCACTTGAGGTCAGGAGTTTGAGATCAGCCTGGCCAACATGGTGAAACCCCGTCGGAGTGAGACTCTGTCTCAAAAAAAAAGAAAGTTTCTCATAAAAGAGCAGCAAAGAAATCTGTTATGGTTAAAACATAGAACAAACAAATAACAAATAACAATAACTAAGGAAGCTTAGTTTATTAGAAATGTGCCAGGCAAGGGAGATAGTGAGCAAATGGAGTCAGTCAAATGGACGCCGAGTAGCTTTAACATTTGAGTTTTATACAGTTTCACTGAGGAGGCGTTAGCCAAAGGATGCTTTTAGGGCGGGGATAACAAGAGTTGGGGGAGGGGCAGGAAGGAAGGGTAGAGTTAGGGCAGGAAAGAATTGGTCAAAAGTTGCAAAGTTGAGTCACTGACTGTGTCGATAGGCTAGGCAAGGCTGTCTGTGAAAAAGTCTGTGGTTTTGTTTCCTGAACACCTGGGTCCAAGCTGAGCTGTTGCTGACATAGTTTATCTGTCTTGCAAATTGTGGTCTCTGTACTGTTTTTCAAGTTGTGGTTTCTGTAGTTTTCCATTTCTCAGTCTTGAGAAAGATAAGATAAGAAAAGATACTGCATTCTGAAAACAAGAACAAGATGTTATTTTGTAAAAAGAGGAACATTCAGAGAACAAGAAGAAATTTTAGACGTTAAAGACATGATAAGAAATGAACATTTTAATGAAGAATTGAAAGATAAAATTGAGGAAATTACACAGAAAGCGTGGCAAAAAGACAAGGAGATAGGAAATGAGAGAAAAAAGGTAAGAAAATTTATGAAATCTATGAAGTTCAGCAGCCAAATAATAGAATTTCCAGGAAGAGTAAAACAGAGGGGAAGAAATCAACAATGAAATAGTTCAGGCTGGGCGTGGTGGCTCACACCTGAAATCCTAGCACTTTGGGAGGCTGAGGCGGGCGGATTGCCTGAGCTCAGGAGTTCAAGACCAGCCTGGGCAACACAGTGAAACCATGTCTCTACTAAAATACAAAAAATTAGCTGGGTGTGGTGGCATGCACCTGTAGTCGCAGCTACTTGGGAGGCTGAGGCAGAAGAATCGCTTGAACCCAGGAGGCGGAGGTTGCAGTGAGCTGAGACTGGGCCGCTGCACTCCAGCCTGGGCAACAGGGCGAGACTCCATCTCCAAAAAAAAAAAAAAAAGAAATAGTTGAAGAAACACACTCAGAATAGAAGAACCAAATTGAAAGTGTCCATCATAATAGATGAAAATTGTCCTGCACTAAAGCATATGATTGTGAAATGTAAAATATCTAGGACAAACAGGAGATTCTCAGGCTTCCAGAAGGGGTAGAAGGGTGGCACAAAAGGGTGGTGGGGGAGTCGGAATTGGATTGGGTTTCTCAGCAGCAACACAGGAATAAGAAAAGAAACAAACTAAAAGAGGAAGGTGTGGCTTTCTTTTCCTCCGGGACACAGAAGGTCGTCCTTCCTACCTACTGGCTGCCCTCGGGGGCAACCCCTTGCCCAGCACCAAGGACGTCAAGAAGATCCTGTACAATATAAGCAATAAGGCCAATGGCAACCAGTGCAGCAAGATCATCAGTGAGCTGAATGGAAAAAACATTAAAGGTGTCATTGCCCAGGGTATTGGCAAGTTGCCATTGTGCTCTCCCACAAGGCTGTGGCCGCCTCTGCTGCCCCGGCTCTGTAGCTCCTGCTGCTGGCCCTGCCCCTACTACAAAGAAGAAGAAACATGAGAAGAAGGAGTCCCAAGAGTCACATGGTGACATATGATTTGACTTCCTGCTCCCCTGCCAATTCCCCTGGAAAGAAAGAAAGAAGGGAGGGAGGGAAGGAGGGAGAGGAAGGGGAGTGGGGGAGGGGAGGGGAGGGAAAGGGAAGGGAATAGAAGAAACAGGAGAGACGCAAAGTGATGGCGAAGGAAAATCACAGGATCAAAAACAGCAAATGTAGAAAGCAACTGATCCGGACTGGGAGAGGCATAACTCAAAAGACAGGCATGTTGGGGATTTGTTATCCACCATTTAAAAAGATAAAGCCATTCTTAGCCCATGGGTCATACAAAAACAGGCTGCAGGTCAGTTTTCTGACCCCGATCTAGTCAATAAAAAAGAAACAGGATGAACTGACACTAATTTCTGGAAAGAAGGAAGGAAGGAGGAAAGGAGGCAGGAAGGAAAAAAAAGAAGAAAGGGGCCAGGCGTGGTGTCTCACCCTTGTAATCCCAGCACTTTGAAAGGCCAAGGCGGGTTGATCACGTGAGGTCAGGAGTTTGAGACCAGCCTGGGTAACATGGTGAAACCCCGTCTCTACTAAAAATACAAAAATTAGCCGGGCATGGTAGTGCACCCCTGTAGTCCCAACTACTCGGGAGGCTGAGGCAGGAAAAACACTTGAACCCGGGAGTCAGAGGTTGCAGTGAGCCTGGATGGTACCACTGCATTCCAGCCTGGGTGACAGCAAGACTCCGTCTCAAAAAAAAAAAAAAAAGAAGTAAGAAGTAAGGAAAGAACAAAGGAAGGAAGGAAGCAAGAAGGAAAGAAAAAGAAAGAAAAAGAAGAAAGGAAGAAAAGAAAGAAGAAAGAAAAGAAAGAAGAAAGAAAAGAAAGAGAAAGAAAGAAGAAAAGAAAGGAAGGAAGGAAGGAAGGAGGCTAGGTAGAGGTGTGACCCTGGTATTGATAAAGAGATAGGGGAGTGGTCAAAGGCATTTCCCTACATCATACTGTAAGGAAAATTCCTGGGTGAGCCCACAGAAACGACAGGTTAATCCAAATTATAAACTGAGTAATCTCATTGTAGAGCCTTTGCATAAATCCAGGATACCTAGTTATCCAATAGTCTCCCTGGCCAGATTGCCAAAGCTTTCGCTGCTCTGGGTCTTCTTCCTCATTGTAGTCCCTGTCATCAGGGTTTCCACAGCACTCAACTCATTCTCCAAGCTTTGACTGCAGTATTCTTCAGGATACATCATCAATCATCTTCCCTCTGCCTTGACATGGTGCTTGGCACTGTGACCCTTGACACAATGTTAAGTGCCTTGACATATTGCTACACTCCCCAAATAAGACTTACTTCAAGTGAATATACATTAGATATCTGCAGGAAAAATGAAGAAGAGCAAGACAGCAACCATCCCTTCCCTTTAAGAATTCCCTTCAAGAACAAGGATTTTTCTCCATATAACAAGAATGTGATTGCAAATTGCTTCACAAAAAAGTAATCTGGCAGAGCTGTAATCTCCACTGGCCTCTCCAAAAAGCCACAAATAAAATAGCCTTTGATATAGACAATAAATTGTAAATATCAGTAGAAGCTTCCTTAGAAGCTATCTTGATGATAGACACTGACTTTTTTGTTTATTTTTATTTATGTTATTTCCATTGCATTATGTGGCAAAATATTTCACATTAATCTAACCATCAGTCTGCTTTCTATCACTATATACAATATTTGCCTTTTCTAAAATTTTATAAATGTGGAATGATATCGTAGAATCTTCGGTGTCTGGCTCCTTGTATTTAGCATAATGCTTTTTTTTTTTTTTTTTTTTGAGACAATCCTGCTAGGCTGGAGTGCACCAGTGTGATCTGGGCTCGCTGCAACCTCTACCTCCCAGGTTCAAGCGATTCTCGTGCCTCTGCCTCCAGAGTAGCTGGGATTACAGGCGCCCACCACCACACCTGGCTAATTTTTGTATTTTCGGTAAAGACAGACTTTCACCATGTTGGCCAGGCTGGTCACAAACTCCTGACCTCAAGTGATCCACCCCACTCGGCCTCCCAAGGTGCTGGGATTACAGGTGTGAGTCACCACACCCAGCTGTCTTCAGCATAATGCTTTCGAGATTCATACATGTTGTGATGTGTATTGGTAGGTTTTTTGTTTGTGTGTTTCTATTTTGTTTTGGCTCACAAACAGAAAAATCTAAAGTAGCTCTTTTTGGTAAGTAGCTTTGCATTGTATGGATGTAAAACAGTGTATCCATTCACCAGTTGGTTGTTTCCAGTTGGGAGATACATACTATGAAAAAAACTCCAATGAACAGTTGCACACAAGTCTTTGTGTGGACATGTTTTCATTTCTTTTGGGGAAGTACGTAACAGTTGGATTGCTGGGTCATGTGGTAACTCTGTCTTTCACATAATCAGAAACCACCAAACTCTTTTCAAAGTATTCATACCACTGTGGTTTGTGTCCCTCCAAAACTGATGTTGGAATTTAATTACCATGGCGACTCTATTAAGAGGTGGGACCAGGCTAGGCATGGTGGCTCACGTCTGTAATCCCAGAACTTTAGGAGGCCAGCGCAAGAGGATTGCTTGAGGACAGGAGTTCAAGACCAGCCTGGTCAATGTAGTAAGACCCCATCTGTACAAAACATTTAAAAATTAGACAGACATGGTGGCACACACCTGTGGTCCTAGCTACTCAGGAGGCTGAGGTGGGAGGATACCTTGAGCTCAGGAGGTCAAGGCTGCAGTGAGCCATGATCATGCCACTGCACTCCAGCCTGGGCAACAGAGCAAAATCTTGACTCTAAAAAAAAAAGGGGAGGTGAGAATTTTAAGAGACAGACCTTAAGCCCTCATGAATGGATTAATCTTTTCATGAATTAACAGATTAGTGGGGTTATAGTGGAAGGGAATAAGTTATCTCAAGAGCGGGTTTGTGATAAAAGCCAGCCTTGCACTCTTCTTATCCTGTGATGCCTTCACATGTTATGACACAGCAAGAAGGCCCCCTGCAGTTGTGACTCCTTGTCCTTGAATCCAAGCACTTGCCAGTTTCCAGAACTTTACCAAATACATTTCGTCTGGGTGAGGTGGCTCACACCGGTAATCCCAGCACTTTGGGAGACCAAGGCGGGTGGATCACTTGAGGTCAGGAGTTCAAGACCAGCCTGGCCAAATGGTGAAACCCTGTCTCTACTAAAAATACAAAATTTAGCCGGGCGTGGTGGTGCCTGTAATCCCAGCTACTTGGGAGGCTGAAGCAGGAGAATCCCTTTAATCCGGGAGGTGGAGGTTACAGTGAACCGAGATTGCGCGGCTGTACTCCAGCCTGGGTGACAGAGTGAGACCCCTTCTTAAAAAAAAAAAAAAAAAAGCCAGTCTCTGTGGCTCACGCCTGTAATCCCAACACTTTGGGAGGCCGAGGTGGGCGGATCACGAGGTCAGGAGATTGAGACCATCCTGGCTAACACAGTGAAACCGCCGTCTCTATTAAAAATACAAAAAATTAGCTGGGTGTGGTAGCAGGTGCCTGTAGTCCCAGCTACTCGGGAAGCTGAGGCAGGAGAATGGCGTGAACCTGGGAGGAGGAGCTTGCAGTGAGCCGAGATGGCGCCACTGCACTCCAGCCTGGGCGACAGAGCGAGACTCTGTCTCAAAAAAAAAAAAAGAAAGAAAGAAATTTTGTTTTATTATAATTTACCCAGTCTAGGGTATTCTATGATAGCATCAGAAAATGGACTAAGGAACATACCATTTTCATTCTTACCGGCAATGTTCCTGATGCTCCAAATTCTCTTCCACGCCTGATATTGTTAGTCTTTTTAATTTGAGTCATTTTAGTGGGTGTGAAGTATAGTTTTTATTTTCTTATTATTATATTTCCATAAGTTATTGCGGTACAGGTGGTATTTGGGGGGGTGTGAAGTATATTTCCTCATGGTTTTAATTCACATTTCCCCAATGACCAAGTGATGTGGAGCATCATTTCATGTTGGTTTTTTGCCATTCACATAACTTATTTGGTAAAATGTATGTTCACATTTCTCTCTTGTTGTTGATCATTCTTGCCAAATTTTGTGTAGTCTTTTAAAATAACTGCTTTGTTCCTTTTACTTTGGATTTATTTTCTGTTTTTCTGACTTATTATAAATGATTACTTACTAATATAAGTCTTTTAAGTTTATACATTTATTTTTTGTTTGTTTGTTTTTGTTTTTGTTTGAGACCGAGTCTCGCTCTGTCGCCCAGGCTGGAGTGCAGTGGGGCTATCTCGGCTCACTGCAACCTCCGCCTCCTGGGTTCAAGTGATTCTCCTGCCTCAGCCTCCCGAGCAGCTGGGATTACAGGCACCTGCCACCACACCGAGCCATTTTTTGCATTTTTTAGTAGAGACAGGGTTTCGCCATGTTGCCTAGGCTGGTCTGAAACTCCTGACCTCAGGTGATCCGCCCTCCTCAGCCTCCCAGAATGTTGGGATTACGGGCATGAGCCACTGCGCCCGGCCAAGTTTATACATTTCTTTCTACACACTACGTAGCTGCATCCCACAGTTGTCATCTGTAATACTTTTTTTTTTTTTTTGAGACAGAGTCTCGCTCTGTCGCCCAGGCTGGAGTGCAGTGGTGCCATCTCGGCTCACTGCAAGCTCCGCCTCCCGGGTTCACGCCATTCTCCTGCCTCAGCCTCCCGAGTAGCTGGGACTACAGGCGCCCGCCCCCACGCCCGGCTAATTTTTTGTACTTTTAGTAGAGACGGAGTTTCTCCTTGTTAGCCAGTATGGTCTCGATCTCCTGACCTCGTGATCCGCCCGCCTCGGCCTCGCAAAGTGCTGGGATTACAGGCGTGAGCCACCGTGCCCGGCCGTCATCTGTAATACTGTTTATTACATTCAAAATGTTTAATTTGTGTCTTTCTTATTTCCTAGCACATAAAGGAAATTTTTTAGCTTTTTTTATTGTTTATTTGTAGCTTAATAGCATTATACATAGGCATACCTTATTTTATTGCACTTCATTTTATCATGCTTTCTAGATTGTATTTTTGTTACAAATCGAAGGTTTGCGGCAACCTTGTGTTGAGCAAGTATATCAGTGCCATTTTTCCAACAGCATGTGCTCACTTTTGTGTCGTTGTGTCAGCATTTTTTACTGATAAACTATTTTTAAAATAAGGTATATTTTTAGACATAATGCCATTGCATACTAAATAGACTACATTATAGTTTAAAAATAACTTTATGTACTAGGAAACCAAAAAAAATTGTGTGACTTACTTTACTGTGATGTTTGTTTTATTGCAATGATCTGGAACTGAACCTATAATATCTCTGACATGTGCCTATGGTCAGAGAATGTCCTCATTTTAATTCTGTCAATTTTCTTGAGATTTGATTTACAGACAATCTGTCTTCAATTAATAAAAATTTTGCGTGCTTAAAAAGAATGTGATTTTTGCAGTTGTTAGTATAGCGTTCTATGCTTCTACCATAGTAAATATGTAATCATGTTTATCAAATCTACTCGATGAACATTTTCTGTCAATTATTAATTTTCAAATCCTCCAATATGATTGAATATAAATTTGTCTGTTTCTTCTTTTTTTTTTTTTTGGAGATAGAGTCTCACTCTGTTGCCAGGCTGGAGTGCAGTGACGCAATCTCGGCTCACCACAACCTCCACCTCCCAGGTTCAAGTGATTCTCCTGCCTTAACCTCTTGAGTAGCTGGGATTACAGGCATCCGTCACCATGCCCGGCTAATTTTGTATTTTTAGTAGAGATGGGGTTTCTCCATGTTGGTCAGGCTGGTCTCAAACTCCCGATCTCAGGTGATCTGCCCACCTCGGCCTCCCAAATTGTTGGGATTACAGGCATGAGCCACCATACCCAGCTTGTTTCTTCTTGTGATGTTTTTGCTTTATATTTTTTTTAGGCTATGTTTATATGTTTACAACCTATGTATATATGTTTATAACCTATGAATATATCTTAATAAACCTATGTGCATAAGTTTCAGTCTATGTACATAGGTATGTCTATGTACATAGAAAAGAAACCCACACACAGACATAAAATGGTGAAATTTCAGAACAACAATGACAAAGAATGATTATAAAACAGCAGGAGAGAAAGGAGATTATCTTCTTTTTTCTTTTTGAGACAGAGTCTTGTTCTTTCACCCAGGCTGGAATGCAATGGCTCGATCTCGGCTCACTGCAACCTCCGCCTACCGGGTTCCAGCGATTCTCCCTGCCTCAGCCTCCCAAGTAGCTGGGATTACAGGCACCCACCACCATGTCCAGCTACTTTTTTTTTTGTATTTTTAGTAGAGACGGGGTTTCACCATGTTGGCCAGGCTGGTCTCGAACTCCTGACCTCAGGTGATCCACCCACCTTGGCCTCCCAAAGTGCTGGGATTATAGGTGTGAGCTACTGCGCCAGCAAGGAGATCATCTCAAAAGAAGCTGAGTTAGTGACAGCTGGCTTAAAGACAATGTAAGCTGGAAGATAGTGAAATGTTATCTTCAAATTGCTGAGGAAAAGCAACTGAAAATTTGGAATTCTAAACCCAATTAAATTTTTTTTTTTTTGAGCTCAATCTCAGCTCACTGCCACCTCTGCCTCCCAGGTTCAAGTGATTCTCTTGCCTCAGCCTCCCGAGTAGCTGGGATTACAGGCATGTGCCATGATGCCCAGGTAATTTTTGTATTTTTTATAGAGACGGGGTTTCACCATGTTCACCATGCTGGTCTCGAATTCCCGACCTTGTGATCTGCCCGACTTGGCCTCCCAAAGTGCTGGGATTACAGGCGTGAGCCACCTCTCCCGGCCCTAAAATTTGTTTTAATGAAGACAAAATAAAATTGTTTCAGACAAATAAAACTCACTCTTTCGCCAGCAAACTCTCCCTATAGGAAAAATCTAAAGTATATATTTTAGCTAGAAGGAAATTGATCCTAAATGAAGCTACAAGAAGAAACAACATGTAAAAAAGACTTTGGGTAAGTATAAAATATTAACTATAAAACAATGATAATGTTTAGTAATAGTTAAATTTGAAAGAAAAAAGATAATATTAAAACATATGACAGGTCTGTGTTCTGGAGGAGATAAAGAAATAGATTAACTTTGTAATTTAAGTAATCACAATGCAGCTTATAGGGTAACAACCAAAAAAAATCAACCCAAAAAACAAAAGGCAAAAAAAGCATCTCAAACCTGAATAGAGTATTTAACTTCCAAACTAGCAAGGAAGAATATAATTAATACCAAAAAAGAGTCAAAAAAAAAAAATAGGAAGGCCAGGCATGGTGGCTCATGCCTGTAATCCAAGCACTTTGGGAAGCCAAGGCTGGCAGATCACTTGAGGATAGGCGTTTGAGACCAGCCTGGCCAACATGGCAAAATCCCGTCTCTACTAAAAATATAAAAATTAGCTGGGGATGGTGGTACACGCCTGTAATCCCAGCTACTCAGGAGACTGAGGCAAAAGGATCACTTGAGCCCGGAAGGCGGAGGTTGCAGTGAGCCGAGATCACACCATTGCCCTCCAGCCTAGGTGACAGAGCGAGACTCTCTCTCAAAAGAAAAAGAATAGGAAGTGAAAGATAGTATAAACTAGGGCAATAGATTTTTTGAGACTAATTTCATTAAAGGTAAATAAACTAAATGCCTTAGTAGTTGTCTCAGTCAGTTTAGGCTGCTGTAACAAATATATCATAGGCTGAGTACTTAAATAACAGAAATTTATTTCTCACAGTTACAGAGACTGGCTGTTTGGGGTTTGTTTTTCTGTTTCTTTTTCAGAAACAGGGGTCTCACTGTTACCCAGGCTGGAGTGCAGCGGCATGATCATAGCTTACGGCAGCCTTGAACTCCTGGGCTCAAATGATCCTCCCACGTCAGCCTCCTGAGTAGCTAGGACTACAGGCAAACACCACTGCAACCAGCTAATTTTAAAACCTTTTTTGTTACTGTTTTTTTTTTGAGACCCAGGCTGGAGTGCAGCGGCAAGATCTTGGCTCACTGTGACCTCTGCCTCCCAGGTTCAAGCAATTCTCCTGCCTCAGCCTCCCAAGTAGATGGAATTACAGGTGCATGCCATCACGCTCGGCTAATTTTTGTATTTTTAGTAGAGACGGGGTTTCACCACATTGACCAGGCTGGTCTCGAACTCCTGACCTCGTGATCCACCCGCCTCAGCCTCCCAAAGTGCTGGGATTACAGGTGTGAGCCACCGTGCCTGGCCTCATTTCCCCACTTCTACATACCATCTGCCATTTCATTTGGGAATATGCTGACGAATACCTGACACGACCCATCGCCGACTTCTCTAATCACTTCCTACAGCCAGGAGACTGGGTTCTGGTAAAAGATCCCAGTCCTCTCCTCAATCCTCCCCTCACACTTAAATGGAATGGGTCTTACCAGATCATCTTTACTACACCCACTTAAGCAGGAAAAAAAAAGTTTCTTGTACTAGGCTAACTCACTTTGAGGCTCAGCGATAGGCAGGGCTCTGGCAGGGCTTTGATAGCCCTGTCTGCAGAGCCAGGGCCCTCAAGGGATGAGCCCCAGAGCCTCTCCCTCCCATCTTGGAGCAGGGGTGAGAAAAACAAGTTTTTCTCCTCTTTCAGCTTCCCCTTCCCCCCTTACCATTCTCATAATTATTTTGCAAAGTTTTGTAAGTTCCTGTTTTTCCTTCTGTATAAGGTCACAAGATATGTTTAAGTTGCACAATCTGTCACTGTTTCACAAACTGCCTTTGTTCTGCTTCTGTAAGCCTGCTTGCCCGCCCTACAGGTTTTGCACCATCAAACTGGTGAGCCCCTTTTTGGATGCATGTATAGCCAACCCCCTTTTGGATGCATGTATAAAAGTCAAGCCCTGTCTTTGTTCGGGGCTCAGCCTTTGGATGTTAATCCTCTGGGCTGGTACACACCTAATAAATCCTCCTGTCCCACCCATTGGTCTCTTCTGTCCCTTGATTCCTGCAACACCACAGGAGCAAAACCCCAGGGACTCCCCAGCTGGTTTCATTATACATCTCTCAAGACAACAGACTTCACTACATACCAAAACAACCAAATCAAAACCCCCTTCAGCCTTCTCTTGTGTCTCCACAGGACCCACTTCCCTTCGCCTCACCAAATCCTGGAGGAAAAGGAAGAGAAATTTACATAAGCTGCTATGTCTCTTTCTCTCTCAAACTTTCATTGCTTCCCAACCAATCTTGTTACAGACCTTTATTGGTACCATTATGAAACTCCCATTATCCATCCTGATCAGCTCCTTACTATTCTATGGGACTTACGGCTTCAAGGAATTTTCCAGGACTTTACTCCTACTCAAATAACCTTTTTCTCCTTTTGCTTGTTTCTTTCAATATAAATTCTGTAATCACATCAACCTTACCAATACAACCACTCCTCACTGCTCTCAAACTGGAATGCTCTATAAACCTTACACAATCCCTCATGCTGCAAGCTAACTCTTCCTTTGCTCCAGAATCCTGGATGTGCTTATCACTGTCTTCCTCAGCCTATACAGCCCTTCCTACACCCTTTCATGACCTTTTAACAGGAAACATAACCATAATCTATAAACTCCAAAAAGGAGCTTCCTTTTTTGAAAGAGCTGACGCCCTGGTAGGTGATTATGCCCCTTCCAGGGCCAATCAAGCCAACAAATCATTTCAAACCTATTACAACTCCCTACAATGCCTCAAGCCCCAAGGCCCTCCCATTGAAGGGCCCATAACTAAACACACCGCCCTTTTACAACAAGCCTCACTTTGCTTTTCAGCCTGTGAGGGAAATTTCCCTGTAGGGTCCTTAACACCTAACCAATGCACTATCATTGTTAAACACCCCTCTGACCATCACACTAACCGAGTTGACTATCACATATCACCTGATGCAAATGGGGCATTTCCACAACTGGCTCGTTTTACAGCCTCTCCCTCAACCGATGCCTCTGACCTAATTTGTGCTGTCCCTAGTGCCCGCTTTATTCATGGCTCAATATCAATGGTGCAACATCTGATTGTATTAAATGTATAAAGAATAACTCTTCCTATATCTCTACTATAGTGGATGTCTCTCTGGCCTCCTCCTTGTCCATCTGGAGTAATGAACCACAGGAAAGAAAAGACACTTCAGCCTTAATTCACTTGCTTTCTTTCCATATCTCTGCCTATATTTACAACAAGGCTTATTTTTTATTTTATTTTATTTTTTTTTTTGAGACAAAGTCTCACTCTGTTGCCCAGGCTGGAGTGCAGTGGCACAATTTTGGCTCACTGCAACCTCCACCTCCTGGGTTCAAGTGATTCTCCTGCCTCAGCCTCCCGAATAGCTGGGACTACAAGCGTGTGCCACCAAGCCCGGCTATTTTTTTTTTTTTTTTGTATTTTTAGTAGAGACGGGGTTTCACCGTGTTGGCCAGGACGGTCTTGATCTCTTGACTTCATGATCTGCCTGCCTCAGCCTCCCAACGTACTGGGATTACAGGTGTGAGCCACCGCACCCAGCCAAGTCTTATTATTTTTATATGGAACCAGTACATATCTTTGTCTCCCCACCAACTGTACCAGAACATGTACTCTAGTTTATCTTTCTCCCTGCATTGGACTAATTCCTCCTAGTCAACCTTTGCCCATTCCATCTGCCCAATATGTTAGGAAGAGGAGGGCTTTCCATGTCATTCCCTTGATGGCCACCTTGGGTATAACCGCCGGACTTAGATTGGGAGCAGGCAGATTGGCCACCTCCTTAACATACTTTAAAGCTCTTTCAACAGAACTACAGCGTTCTTTAGAAGATACAGCCCAAAGTCTTATAAGAGTCCAAGACCAACTAGACTGCTTGGCTGGAGTAATCCTCCAAAATAGAGGGGGACTAGATCTTATAATGGCTGAAAAAGGAGATCTTAAATGGCCTCTGCCTCTCGTTGGATGAGGAATGTTGCCTATACCTCAACCAATCAAGCCTAGTAAGAGATGCTGCTGAAAAACTTACAGAAAGGGCTAAAAGACTAAGGGAATACCAAAACAACCAAATAGATTGTTGGTTTTGGAACAAAATCACAACATGGGTCATCCCATTCCTGGGCCCTCTCCTAATGATGTGCCTAGGACTAATGTTTTTACCCTGCCTAATTAACCTTTTTCAAAGATTTTTAACTGACAGGATCATGGCCATTTCACAGACAACTACCCAAAAACATCTACAGACAGCATTAGTCCTACAGTCAATCTGAGATCAAAGAACTCTCCGCACTCCTCCCCTTAGCAGGAAGTAGCCAGAAAGAACACACCGCCCCTTGTCCTTCTATAACTATAGGATCTGGATTGACAGAGCAAGAGCATCACCATCTTGGACAAACACTGCCATTTTAAGTTGCCCTTGATTAAAAAACGCCTAATCCAGCCCCAGAAACATCACCCTAATGGCCAATGTCAGCATGACCATTAAATGACACCTCCAACCGGAAATGTTCCAACCCCAAGATAAATCCCCCTCCGACCAGAAACATGCCAACCCCACAATAAAACTCTCCTCCACCCAGAAATATTCCAAATCTGCGATAAGCTCTCCCTCCCTAAACCCTTAAATATTCTTAGTCTATAAGAGAGAAGGCCCCGACCTAAACCAGCCAGAATCCCCTCTCAGGTTTATTCTCCAAAATACACTTGTCTGTGATTATTGAGCCCCTTTTTGTGTTTCTTTCTTCTTCCTTAAACCCTTACAGTTGTATTGATTATAGAGGCAATAGTGGATCATAGAACTATGCCTTGTGTTAGTTACAGAGACTAGAGTAGCTTGTCCTGGCAAGACTGTTGCTGACTAGCTGCGTTTCAGACATTGAGCTGTCTCTGATTAGTTGGTTTTTGAAGACATTTTCACCAAAGCAAGCTGCCATTGATTTCAGTGGGTTAAGCCAGTTCTGCTACTTACTTGTTACTATGGCTGTAGAACTTTTCCTAATAACATAAAGACTTTTTAATATTCAGCTCTCTATCTTAAGGATATTAACCATTTGTCATCTTGTTTAAATTTTTGTTCTCTATTTGTCTTTTAATTTGAGGATTCTTTAAATGTAAAAATCTATAGTTTGTAAAATCTCCTTACCATCTTTTTTTTTTTTTTTTTGGGTCATTTTCACTCTTGTTGCCCAGGCTGCAGTGCAATGGCACAATTTTGGCTCACCGCAACTTCCACCTCCTGGGTTCAAGCAATTCTCTTACCTTAGCCTCCCGAGTAGCTGGGATTACAGGTATACCCCAATATGCCCAGCTAATGTTTTGTATCTTTAGTAAAGACAGAGTTTCTTCATGTTGGTCAGGCTAGTCTCAAACTCCTGACCTCAGGTGATGCACCTGCCTTGGCCTCCCAAAGTGCTGGGATTACAGGTGTGAGCCACCACGCCCGGCCACCATCTTTATACTTTCTATTTTTTTGGTTTAAAATCTTTCATTATTCATAGCATGTGATGAGAGACTTTACACTCTATATCATTCTCATTTTCAAAGCAACCATAGACTATATTGATTCATAATAGTTTTATGTCTATGTATCTTGCTTCCCCAAAGATTCCAAACTCCATGAAGCCAGGGTTTAAACAATTTTTACTGCCTACATCATATATTATGGTGTATGTGAGGTATGTGAGGCTGCAGTGTAAGGCCTGAACTGGAATGGTAATAAGTAAGACTGGGAAAAAAAATAGACCAGCCAGTAGGGTATGAGTTTGGAAGGGTTGATGTAAACCAAGGACAAGTTGGATGTGGGAAAAGACTCAAGAAGAGGTAACTGAGGCAAGATGGTTGAAATATAAAGATTGGTCATATAAAAACATCCCATAACAAGTAAACTTAATAAATCCCTAGGGAGGATTAGGAAACTGAGGACTTAGGTTGCAGCTTTATTTAATGGCTACTTCTGAAGTTAGTGGACAAAAGCCACCATAATTAACATGCTTACTCTAGGGTGGTCCTTAAAGTTACATAAATCCCCAAGCCATACCTAGGACATCCTCAGGGTAATCAAAATCACAAGGTGTTTTCCTTTCCCCAAAAGATTTTCAAAAAAAGTATACATTTCATATTAAGTTATTGCCATCCATTTGTTTTTTGTTTCTGAGACAGAGTTTGGCTCTTGTTGCCCAGGCCGAGTGCAACAGCATGATCTCTGCTCACTGCAACCTCTGCCTTCTGGGTTCAAATGATTCTCCTGCCTCAGCCTCCTGAGTAGCTGGGATTACAGGCGCCCACCATCACACCCGGCTAATTTTTGTATTTTTTAGTAGAGACGGGGTTTTGCCATGTTGGCCAGGCTGGTCTCGAACTCCTGACCTCAGGTGATCCACCGCCTTGGCTTCCCAAAGTGCTGGGATTATAGGTGTGAGCCACTGCGCCCGGCCATTGCCGTTACTTTTAATGTCAAAAACCACAGTTACTTTTGCACCAAACCCATTAAAAGGCAGCATTGTTTTCACCCAGACTTCTCATTATGTGAGATAAATTTTTTCATGATAATGAAAGAAAGAGGAGGAAGGAAGAAAACAGGGAGAGAAGGGAGGAAGGCAGACAAAAAGAAGAAAAAAGGAAAAGGCAAGTAGCCTAGAAATGAAAAGTCATATTCAGTGGCCTGACAGGTATGAAGGAGGAAGCACAGAGTCTGGGTTTCCTTGAGGGCTTCCAGTTAAGGGCTAAATGTATAATGCTGCTGTTCAGGGATGCAAAGATATTTAGAGGCCACCTAGTTCAACCCCATCGAGACCATCCTGGCTAACACGGTGAAACCCCGTCTCTACTAAAAAAATACAAAAAAAAATTAGCCGGGCGTGGTGGCAGGTGCCTGTAGTCCCAGCTACTCAGGAGGCTGAGGCAGGAGAATGGCATGAACCCAGGAGGCAGAGCTTGCAGTGAGCCGAGATGGCACCACTGCACTCCAGCCTGGGCAACAGAGCGAGACTCCACCTCAAAAAAAAAAAAGAAGAGACAGGCCGGGCACAGTGGCTCACGCCTGTAATCCCAGCACTTTGGGAGGCCGAGGCGGGCGGATCACGAGGTCAGGAGATCGAGACCATCCTGGTTAACACGGTGAAACCCCGTCTCTACTAAAAACACAAAAAATTAGCCGGGCGTGGTGGCGGGCGCCTGTAGTCCCAGCTACTGGGGAAGCTGAGGCAGGAGAATGGCATGAACCCAGGAGGTGGAGCTTGCAGTGAGCCGAGATAGCACCACTGCACTCCCACCCGGGTGACAGAGCGAGACTCCTTCTCAAAAAAAAAAAAAAAAAAAAAAAAAAAAAAAGAGATTACTACTCTGTTGCCCAGGCTGGAGTGCAGTGGTGTGATCACAGCTCACTGCAGTCTCGAACTCCTGGCCTCAGTCAGTCCTCCCACCTCAGCCTCCCAAAGTAGCTGGGACTGCAGCTGTGCACGACCATGCCCAGCTAATTTTTTGAAAAAATTTTTTGTAGAGACAGGAATCTCACTATGTTGCCTGTCTTTGGGTTGGATTAATTTGCTAAAGCAGCTCACAGAACTCAGGAAAACACATTTACCAATTTATTATGAAGGATATTACAAAGGATACCGAGGAAGCAATGCATAGGGCGAGGTATGGGGCAAAGGATGGAGAGCTTCCTTGCCCTCTCTAGG
This sequence comes from Homo sapiens, assembly GCF_000001405.40. Classification (NCBI taxonomy): domain Eukaryota; kingdom Metazoa; phylum Chordata; class Mammalia; order Primates; family Hominidae; genus Homo; species Homo sapiens. Next base: position 31,912,751 of record NC_000012.12, read on the forward strand.
TGCGCCACACTCCAGGAACTTCCACATGTTCAGCTATTCCAAGGCTCGCAGAACCCTGTTCTCTTGTTATGTAAGTTTCAGTACGTTCAGTACGTAGGCATGATTGATTAAATCATTTGCCTTTGGTGATCAACTTAACCTTCAGCCCTTCTTTGCTCCCTGGAGGTTGAGGGGTGGGGCTGAAAGTCCCAATTCTTATTCTGACGTTGGTTTTTGAGGTAACCAGACCCCACTGAAGCTACCTAGAGGCTGCCAAATTTAAGTCAACTCGTTAGCATACAAAAAGACACATCACTTTGAAGATTCTAAGGAGGCCGGGCATGGTGGCTCACGCCTGTATTCTTAGCACTTTGGGAGGCCAAGGCAGGAGGTTCCCTTGAGCCCAGGAGTTCGAGACCAGCCTGGGCAACATAGGGAGACACTGTCTTTATTTTTTTTAATAAATAAATAGTTTTTTTAAATGAAGATTCTAAGGATTTTAGAAGTTGTGTGCCCAGAAACAAGATGAAGACCAAATATACATTTCAGAGAAATCACAATACTTAATGCTGAATTATTGTATTAAGTAGATTGGAAATAGTGAATTTATCCTTTTGTCCTATATATTTAGTTGTGATATATATAACATAAAAATTTGCCATTTTAACAATACTTAACAACTTAAGTATTGTTAAAATGGCAAATTTTTTTTTTGAGATGGAGTCTTGCTCTGTTGCCTAGGCTGGAGTGCAGTGGCACGATCTTAGCTCACTGCAACCTCTGCCTCCTGGGTTCAAGCAATTCTCCTGCCTCAACCTCCTGAGTAGCTGGGATTACAGGCACACGCCACCATGCCCGGCTAATTTTTGTATTTTTTTAGTAGAGACGGGTTTCACCATATTGGTCAGGCTGATCTTGAACTCCTGACCTTGTGATCCACCTGCCTCAGCCTCCCAAAGTGCTGGGATTACAGGCATGAGCCACTGTGCCTGGCCTAAAATGGCAAAGTTTTATGTTATATATACTTATCACAACTAAATATATAGGACAAAATAATAAATCAGGAAACACAATGGAAAAGTTTCCTTACAATAGCAGGAGAAACTAGACTACCTACAAAGACTGCATAAAACTGTATGATTGTATAAAAAGATATAAACAACCAGGTGCAATGGCTCATGCCTGTAAGCCCAGCACTTAGGGAGGTTGAGGCGCGAGGATCACTTGAGCACAGGAGTTTGAGACCAGCCTGGACAACACGATGAAATCCCATCTCTACTAAAAATACAAAAACTAGGCCAGGCATGGTGGCTCACACCTGTAATGCCAGCACTTTGGGAGGCTTAGGCGGGTGAATCACGAGGTCAGGAGTTCAAGACCATCCTGGCCAATGTGGTGAAACCCTGTCTCTACTAAAAATACAAAAATTAACTGGGCGTGGTGTGCGCCTGTAATCCCAGCTACTCAGGAGGCTGAGGCAGGAGAATCGCTTGAATCCAGGAGGCAGAGGTTACAGTGAGCTGAAATTGCACCACTGCACCCCAGCCCGGCAACAGAGCGAGAGTCTGTCTCAAAAAAAAAAAAAAAAAAAAATTAACTGGGCATGGTGGTACACGCCTGTAATCTCAGCTACTCAGGAGGCTGAGGCAGGAAAACTGCTTGAACCGGAACTGGGGAGGCAGAGGTTGCAGTGAACTGAGATTGAGCCACGGCACTCCAGCCTGGGCTACAGAGTAAGACTCTGTCTCAAAAAAAAAAAAAAAGAAAAAGAAAAACCAGCTGGGTGTGGTGGGTGGTGCATGCCTGTAGTCCCAGCTACTTGGGAGGCTAAGGTGAGAGGATCACCTGAGCCCAGGAGGCAGAGGTTGCAGTAAGCCAAGATTATGCCACTGCACTCCAGACTGGGTGACAGAGCAAGACCCTGTCTCAAAAAAAAAAAAAAAAAAAAGGATATAAAAGAACACCTGGATAAATGGAGAGACAGTCTCTGGATCAGAGGACTCAACATAAAATTAAAAATTAAAAACAGGAAAATCTCTTCCAATTAATCTATGCATTCTGTGAAATACAAAGGAATTCTTAACAGTATTTATGCATACACACATATACTATAGATAGATATATAGATAATAGATAGAGTGAAAAGAAATCCAAAATAGAGATGATTATGTCAGAGGTCTCTAAAAAGGAGCCAAGAGGGCATAAGGAGTTGGGAGTTGAACCCCAGTCACGTACACACCCAGAAGGAATTTGACCTCTTTGAACTGAGCCAAATTTAAAACTTCTTTAAGAAGCAGCTGTATTTGATTTGAACTATTTACACCAGGTCTAATCACCAACCTCCTGAGGAGACAACTGTGCTGAATTAAGCTCATTACTGCCTAGAGACATACAAGCTGTCAATCAACCATTGTCAATCATGGATTGTGCTAAAATTTTCAACTTGTGTAAACTTGCAAGAAACCTTTATAAGCCCCTGCCCAGTCTTGTCTGAATGGAACAGATTTGTGTCTCCTAAATTGCAAGTCATGAAAGACCCCAATTAAAATACCTTTTTTTTTTTTTTTTTTTTCTGAGACAGGGTCTCTTGCTCTGTCACCTAGCCTGGAGCACAGTGACACAATCTTGGCTCATTGCAACCTCCACCTCCCAGGCTCAAGTGATCCTCCCACCTCAGCCTCCCAAGCTGGGACTACAGGCATGCGCCACCGTGCCCAGCTAATTTTATTTTTTGTAGAGACAATGTCTTACTATGTTGCCCAGGCTGGTCTCTAACCCCTGGGTTCATGTGATCCTCCCACCTAAGCCTCCCAAAGTATTGAAATTACAGGCATGAGCCATCATGCTGGGCTAAAATATCTTCTCTTTTGTTTGCTGATCCACAGCGTTGGTTTTATTTCTTATTAGTTTATATTACGTGGTGTCAGAAGTGGGATACAGAGCAGTTCCCTCTTGATCTCTGATGCCACCATGGACCCAAGCAAAGGTACCTGCAGGACGCTTTTGCACTCCATTGATCTTGATAGCCCTGGAATTCACTGGGTGAGTCCTCTTGTGTTCTAAACCTCCTGACATGGTTCAGATTGAGGCCTTTTTTCAGGTGTTTTCTGTTGCCACTTTTAATTACAAGGATGGCTTCATTGTTTTGGGGAGTGTCTCAAATAAGAACCTATGAGGGAAAGAAAAAAATTATATTTTCTCCTCTACAATTTGGCAACTCAGTTGGGACCAATAGAGACACTCCACTCACTCCAAGACCTATAAGTGGAATCCTGGGAGAACTTGCAGAAGCCAATATAAATAGGTAGGATTTTTATGAAAGTCAGCTTCTCCCAGACTTCTTTTTTTTTTTTTTTTTTGAGACAGAGTCTCCCCCTGCTGCCCAGGCTGTAGTGTAATGGTGGCGTGATCTCGGCTCACTGCAACCTCTGCCTCCTGGGTTACAGCGATTCTCCTGCCTCAGCCTCCCGAGTAGCTGGGATTAGAGGCACCTGCCACCACATCCAGCTAATTTTTGTATTTTTAGTAGAGACGGGGTTTCACCATGTTGGCCAGGCTGGTCTTGAACTCCTGACCTCGTGATCCACCTGCCTCGGCCTCCCAAAGTACTGGGATTATAGGCGTGAGCCACTGCGCCCAACTAGCTTCTCCCAGACTTCTATTTGTGGTACCTGGTCAAGAGAGGAAGGTAAAAAATTTCCCTGTTTCTTCTTTTCCAGGTTCAGATTGGCAGGAAAAAAAAATTACAAATAAAAAACAATTAGTTTTTTGAAATGTGACTCTTGTGAATCTGCTTCAGGTACTGTTGGTTATTGTTCTTTAGTTTCCAAAGATGGTCTTTATTTCCCTTGTCGCTCTCTTTTTGTAGGGCTTCTCATAAGGAGGAAAAATCATAAGATTCTCCTTTCATCCTGCTTAATTTCTTGAGAAGCTTGGCTTTGTCACCAGCAAATTTATTCTCCAGTCTCTACCACCTCAGAGAGCGTACATTGTTGAGCTTATGTCAGATGGCCAGCTGTGAGTCCAGCCGGGGGTCTGAAATGTCTGTTTTTTCAAATGTGTCATCTCTCAGGGAAATTTGTCTTAATTGTCTCAACCTTCATTGCCTTGATAATGAGGGTCTTTACTTTCTTAGGCTATCTTCAGAAGAAATTTCAGATCTTGAGGGGAACTGCATACTTGCACCCTCTTCAGGCATAATTTATGCATCTGATTATATACCATAAAAAGGCTTACAGGTTTTGAGTCCCAGTTAGAGGTATACCTTTGGAAATTTATTTTGTTTTGTTTTGTTTGAGACAAGCTGCAGAGGTTGCAGTGGCACAATTACAGCTCACTGTAGTCTCGACATTCCAGGCTCAAGTGATTCTCCCACCTCAGCCTCCCAAGTAGCAGAGACTTATACATGCATGTGCCACCATGCCTGGCTAAATTTTTAAAAAAAATTTTTGTAGAGATGGCTTTCTCACTATATTCCCCATACTGGTTTCAGACTCCTGGACTCAGAGATCCTCCAGCCTTGGCCTCCCAAAGTGCTAGGACTATAGGCATGAACCAATGCACCTGGCCAACCTTTGGAAATTTGGACTGTTAACGGCTAAAACTTTTTTTTCTGGAGAGTTCTCCTTTAACACCCGCAGAAAATTCTTTAAATGTTCAAATTGCCTGCTCAACTTTGCTGCAGGATTTACTAAAGTCACTCCAGCATTTTCCAGGCCTTTCTCAGTCCTTTGGAGATGTAAACCTTACCATGTTTTTGAAATGTTAGCATTTAGGGAATTAGCTAAGCAGCATTCCAGCGAGATTGGATTTGAAACAGAGCTAAAGTTCTCCGGACCAACCAAAAAATTCCTTTCCTCAGGGGATGTCTTTAGCTCAGGGGAGAAACATTTATAAGAATTAGCTTGGTTAATTGTTTTGAATTTTTGGTGTGACTCTTGAGGTTTTGGGGTGCCCATTTGTAATTCTTTCCACCCCCATGGGCAGCTTTTGTTTTCCTCTTTTAGTGACTGTCTCTTCTCATTGTCTGTCTGCTGGGCACACAAGGGAAGGTCTGCCTTTGTGGAAGGTCTGGCAGACACTGGGCTGAAAAGCTGAGGCCATAGAGAATATGGTGAACAAATGTGGGGTTGCACCCCAATTGTTGCTAGGGAAGCTTTCTCTAAGCTGTCCTTGGGAGGGTCTGGATCCTGTAAGGGCTGCTAACTTTTGCTCCCTCTTTGGGAAACTTGATTAAAGCCAAGTTTTAATGAAGGGCTTGGTTTAAAAGGGCTTCTTGGTTTGGGTCTCCTGTGTGTTTATTTGTGTTGGTTTTCTCATTTGTTCAGGTATACCTTTGATTTTAAACATCGGTTTATATTTTAAATATAAAATATTTATATAGTTTATATTTAAATTTATGAAATTTATAAATTTATGAAAACTTTTTGTTCCTTTGTTTGTTCAGCCTTCTCTCCTGAGCTAAATGGAACCACATACTCAACAAGTTTATTAAAACATTTCAAAGACAACAGCTTTAAATAGTGATTATTCTAGTGCTGGGCATGGTGGCTCACGCCTGTAATCCCAGCACTTTGGGAGGCTGAGGCGAGCGGATCACTTGAGGCCTGGAGTTTGAGACCAGCCTGGCCAACATAGTGAAATCCTGTCTCTACTAAAAGCACAAAAATTACCCAGGCATGGTGGCACGCGCCTGTAGTCCCAGCTATTCAGGAGGCTGAGACATGAGAATCACTTGAGCCTGGGAGGTGGAGGTTGCAGTGATCTGAGACCGAGCCACTGCACTCCAGCCTGGGTGACAGAGTTGTCTCGGGAAAAACAAACAAATAAATAAAATAGTGATTATTCTAGACCTCTAATAGGCAAATATACCCCCACCCCTGCAAAAACAAACAAACAAAAAACAACAAAAACAAAAAGCTTCTTCTTGGTGCAAATTTCAGAAATGAAGCCAAGAAATAGGAATGTTTGCTATTTGTCCATCTAAAATCTGGTCAAAAGATTTTTTTTAAGAGCTCTACAGTCAAAATCGACTTTTGACTTTTGACTTTTTAGAGCATGAGAATCCCTTGAACTTGGGAGGCAGAGGTTGCCATGAACCGAGATCGTGCCCCTGCACTCCAGCCTGGGTGACAGAGTGAGACTCTGTCTCAAATAACCAAACAAACAGAGCCAAAAGTATATAAGCTTAAACTCGAATTTAGTAATTAATGTCTTAGCATTATATCTTATTTGGAAATGACCTAGATATTCAATGACTATCCATAATTTAATTTAGCTTAGCAAAATTCTAAAGGTAACCATTTTTTATTACTGTATGTTAGGTAAATATCATAAAAGTAAGAAACTTAAAGTTAAATACATGCATGTTTTGCTGACAACTCAGGAGACATAATTGTTTTTATTAAACCAACAATATTAAACTAGCCTTGTCTACCAAAAGATTTACTAAAGTCACATAAACTTAAAAAATATTTCAACTTATTTATGAGCACTCATTTATTTTTAAGTTAATTTGGTACCATGTAGACAATACACAAACATATGTATAGACATATAAATACATGTAGATACAACATATATCATACACATGTATGTGTCTATTTGGCTTTGTTTCTTTGTTTGGGACATGGTCTCGCTATGCTGTCCAGGATGGCCTCAAACTCCTGAGTTCAAATGATCTTTCTGCCTCAGCGACCTGAGTACCTGGGATTATAGCCATGTGCCACTATGCCCAACTCACATGTATGTATCTAAAAGCCAAAAGGATCAAGGTTAAATATGAAAAAGAGTAGAGAGTTAGACCTGAGAGGAACCTATCCACCCACAGCTCTTGGGGCTCTACGAGGAAAACAGTGATCCTCCCACCCCCAGAAAAGGAATATGTGGCCTTCAAGGGGTCCTCAAGGAGACCCAGGACTGTTATAAGTCTTCGTTACCAGCTGGGCTCAGTGGCTCATGCCTATAATCCCAGCACTTTGGGAGGCTGAGGTGAGAGTATTGCTTGAGGCCAGGAGTTCAAGACCAGCCTAGGCAACACAGCGAGACCCTCTTTCTACAAACAATTAACAAAAATTCAATAATATTAAACAAAAATAATAAAACATAGTTGTTAGTTGCCCTCATGTGGTAGCAAAGGTGGCAAGAGGAAGGAGGGATATAAATGGAAGAACAAGTCTTAGAGGAGCCAGTTTGAGGTCTTGTTCCCAAAAAGCCAAATAAATTTTACATTATCCTTGGCAAAATTAATGTCAACAAGAAAAAAAGCAGAGAGGTGGAGCACATATAGTCAGCTGGAGTTTAAGAGGAGAGGAATTCAGGCTGGGTGAGATGGCCCACACTTTGGGAGAACAAGGTAGGAGGATTGCTTGAGGCCAGGAGTTCAAGACCAGCATGGGCAACATAGTGAGACGAAGTCTCTACAAATATATATTTTTTTGATTAGCCAGCATGGCAGCATGCATTTATAATCCCAGCTATCTGGAGGCTGAGGCAAGAGGATCCCTCGAGCCCCAGAGTTCGAGGCTGTAGTGAACTATGATTACACCACTGCACTCCAGCCTGGGTGATAGAGTGAGACCCTCTCTCTCTCAAAAAAAAAAAAAAAAAAAAGATTTATATGTATTATATATGTATAAATACATAGCCTAAATATCAACTTTTACTTAAATTATACAGGAGGTATTTCATTGTCAAATAAGAAATAACGTTTTACCTTCTTGAAGTTGTATTTGTATAAATGCATTTTTAATATGTGTTCCAAAATTGTATAAAATTTCTAAAAAGATCTGATATATCTTGGTATGTGTTATCAGTCATAATTCTAATTATTGTGTTAAATTGTTGACACCACAGAAATAACCATACTTCCTTATCAGTTCCATCATTAATCATGACTATTCTCTTTTGTCATCCACAGGCAATTGTTATTTTACCTTGTTTTTTTTTTTTTTTTTTTTTTTTTGAGGCTGAGTCTCACTCTGTCGCCCAGGCTGGAGTGCAGTGGCACGATCTCAGCTGACTGCAAGCGCTCCGCCTCCCGGGTTCATGCCGTTCTCCTGCCTCAGCCTCCCAAGTAGCTGGGATTACAGGTGCCTGCCACCACGCCTGGCGAATTTTTTGTATTTTTAGTAGAGACTGGGTTCCACCATTTTGGCCAGGCTGGTCTTAAACTCCTGACCTCGTGATCCACCCGCCTTGGCCTCCCAAAGTGCTGGGACTACAGGCGTGAGCCACTGCACCTGGCCTACCTTGATCTTGATTCTCTTCAAAAGGTGGTTTATAATCAGCTACAGTCTAAAATTTGCTTTTTTTTTTTTTCTTTGGAGACAGGGTCTCACTCTGTCACCACTCAGGCTGGAATGCAGTGGTGTGATCATAGCTCACTGCAGCCTTGAACTCCTGGGCTCAGGTGATCCTCCCACCTCAGCCTCCCAAGTAACTAGGACCACAGGCGCATGCCACCATGGCTGGCTAATTTATTTTTATTTTTTTGTAGAAATGAGGTCTCACTATGTTGTTCAGGCTGCTCTGGAACTCCTGGGCTCAAGTGATCTGCCCGCTTTGACCTTGCAAAGTACTAGGATTACAGGCATAAAACACGACATGCAGCCCCAAATTTGCTGCTTCTTCAAGGAAATTCATGAAAAAAAACCATAACAAGCATTCTTGAATACAGATTTTTTATAATTTTTGAGATCATACCATTGGACTAGGTAAAAACTTCCAGAACTCTGATGAGTAAACTAAAGTGTTCATGAAGATTCCTAATCCGACATCAAGAAAAACAAGAATTAATTACATGGGACTCAACTGATGAAGAATTGAAATTTTTTATGAGTTCTTTTTATCTGAAGCATTCCACATTCTTTATATTTTGTTCTTCAGAGTCAAGGAAAATTTTATTCTTCTTTAAGCTATTTATAGCTTAGATCAATTGGGTAAAGTAGACTTTTGTGAGCAGAATTGAAACATTTGCATTTCTGTCTACCTGGTCCCTTCAGAATTTGGAAACCATTTGTGATTAATCTTCTTTTATGGCAATATAGTCATTTGCATAAGTTCAGTAACAATTTGCTGTCTTTGTAGGAAGAGACATTAGACCCAACAAAACTCCTTAGAATCCCTAGCATGTGAAAGATTAGATAATAGAAGAGTTTCAGATTATTTACTCAGTGCTCAAGGAGGAGTCTGCTATATCCAACACCTCTGGTTCTGCTTGGGTAAATAAAAAATTCAAGGCTGGGTGCTGTGGCTCACACTTCTAATCCCGGCACTTTGGGAGGCCAAGGCAGGCAGGAGTTCAAGACCAGCCTGGGCAACATGGTGAAACTCCATCCCTAATAAAACTACAAAAATTAGCCAGGTGTGGTGGTACACACCTGTAGTCCCACCTACTAGGGGGTGCTGAGGTTGGAGGATCACTTGAGCCTGGGACGTTGAGGCTGCGGTGAGCTGAGATCCCACCACTGCACTCCAGCCTGGTGACGACGTGATAGCCTGTCTCAAAAAATAATAATAATAAAAAAATTCAGGTAGTACTGGAAACCTCGAAGATTCCAAGATTAGTCAGATCCTTAAAAGGTATACCTTCTGGTAGTCTTTTTAATTGGGTTAATCTTGAATTTTCTGATCTTTTTTGTTTGCTTCCTACAGTTATTGGAAATATTTTAAGATCTGGGTTCCAACTTATCCTGTTATTCTTGTTTGTGACCCTAGTCATGTTTATCCTCGTTAAACTATATTCTTGTTAAATGGCTTTGAGGTAGTCTTGTTGCCTGAGGTATTACCTGGAGCTCTTTGTCTCATGACCAAGAAGAGTAAGGAATGTGGACACCAAGGGTGAGTTTAGAGCAAAAGTTTAATAAGTGAAAGAGGAAAGCTCTCCACTGCAGAGAGGGGACCTGAGAGGGTTGCCATTTCACAATTGAGTACAAAGGCTGTTATGAGGAACCCAGAGGAACCAGATGGGTCTGGGCATTTCATTTGCATAACTGAAATTGCATAAGTTGTGAATTTCTGGTAGCTCCACCCTGTACCCCTAGTGTGCTGGCTGACTGGTGGTTGTCTTTAGAAAAGGCACCACTTAGAAAATGGCATGATGGTGTAAAGGACCAACTGGAGCCTTGGCTCACAACCAGCCTAGTGTTGGAGTGATGATTCATAGAGGTTTGGCTCACAGTCCAAAGTATGCCCAAAAAAGGAAAGGAATGTACTCACCACAGCCCACCATCTACATGCCCACAAAAGGAAAAGAAACTATTTCCTGGAAGGCTGCTGCTTACACAAAGAACAAAGGTGCTTCTATGTTGGGCCTTGCTTCCTTATCTGTGCAGCTATGGGTATATCCTAGGCAAGCTGCCTGTGCTAGTTCCCTTATCTGTATCTGTAGCCTGAGTTTTCAGGTTGTTCCTTTGTTTGAAAGAATTCTACTGAGCACCTGCCCTAACCGCCTTCCTAGCTGGTTCTTTCTTTTCTCCTCTCTCAGCTTGATGCCACACTGTTGCTGTCAACGAAACTAAAATTATGGTGGCTCAACACATTGAACTGACAGATTAGGCCTACAATCATGAATCCTACCCTAACCACATATGTGCACCACAATTGGGGCCCACATCCTCAACTCCTCCTTGTTGCTCAAATTTGGACTATTCCATTTGACACAGATCATCCACTATCATTACCATGACTCCCTCCTCCATGGGACATGACTTCCTGGGACAAATCTATTCCAGAACCAAAGGGCTTACTGAAATAATTGATCTCAGTGGTTTCTAAGGAAATATTTAAATCAAAAGGGGAAAATCTGAAAAGAAATCCAAAATGGAGATGATTATGCCAGAGGTCTCTAAAAAGGAGCCAGGAGGGCATAAGGAGTTGGACCCCCATCACCCATATACTCAGATGAAATTTGACATGTTCAAATTGGACCAAATCACAAACATCCTAAAGAAGCAGCTGAATTTGATGTGAACTGTTTACACTGGGCCTGATCACAAATCTCCTGAGAAGACAGCTGTGCCAAATTAGGTCGTTCATCACCAAGAGACATCTAAGCTGTCAATCAGCCATTGTCAATCATAGACTGTGCTAAAATTTTCCACTTGTATAAACTTGCCAGGAACCTTTATAAGCCCCTGCCCAGCTTGTCTGTATGGAATATGATTTAGCTGCTTGCTCGATTTGTGTCTCTCAAATTGCAATTTATAAAAGATCTCAATTAAAATACCTTCTCTCATATGCTTGTCTGCAGTGTTGGTTTTACTTCTTATTAGTTGCCAATAGATAAAAAATGGACATGCACAAAAATTGATTCTATATTTATCTAGGATGAATTGTTCAATAAATAGTATTGTGACAACTGAGTAGCCAGCTGGAAAACGAGAGTTGAACTCCTACAGCTTACCTTCCATTACAGTTAATTCTAGGTGGCTCAAAGATGTAAACATTTTGCAAAGTTGTAAATCCATAATGAAAACCAGGAAAAGATGTACATCCTCTTCCCAAGCATGCTAAAGTCTTAAGCAGGCATTACATAAAATAGGAATTACAAATAGCAAACAGTTAAAGCTGTTATCCCCCATAGTGAAGAGGAAAGCCACAAAGTTATCTGTGTTATCCACCAGAATGACTGAGTTTATTTTATTTATTTATTTATTTATTTTATTTTTTTGAGACGGAGTCTCACTCTGTCGCCCAGGCTGGAGTGCAGTGGCGTGACCTCAGCTCACTGCAAGCTCCACCTTCCGGGTTCACGCCATTCTCCTGCCTCAGCCTCCTGAGTAGCTGGGACTACAAGCACCCGCCACCACGCCCGGCTAATTTTTTGTGTTTTTAGTAGCTGGGATTACAGTTGCCCACTATCATGCCTGGCTAAGTTTTTTTTTTTTTTTTTTGAGACAGAGTTTTGCTCTTGTTGCCTGGGCTGGAGTACAATGGCATGATCTCAGCTCACTGCAACCTCTGCAAAATACAAAAATTAGCTGGGTATGGTGGCATGCACCTGTAGTCCCAGCTACTCGGGAGGCTAAGGCAGGAGAATCGCTTGAACCTGGGAGGCAGAAGTTGCAATGAGCCAAGATCACACCACTGCACTCCAGCCTGGCGACAGAGCGAGACTCCGTCTTAAAAAAAAAAAATATATATATATATATATATATATATATATATATTTTTTTTAAGAATGTCCATTTCACCTTTGCAAAAGCCAAAAGATAGAAACAACTCAAATATGATCTATAGAATATCCATATAGTGATACCCAAGAAGCTAGAATATTAGTTGCCTTTGGAGAAGCAAACTGGATGGCTGAGATGCAGAATTGGGAGTGTGATTAATTTTTCCTTTTATTCTTTTGACCATGCCTAGATTCTACCAGTTAAAAATAATATAAATTATTAATAAAAACATGAAGAGTTGATTAACATACATCACATATTTTGAGTACAGGGATAAATATGGGAGACATGCTGTCCCAGATATCAAAATATAAAGCTATCAAAACATTGTTGGCCAGGCGTGGTGGCACATGCCTACAATACCAGCACTTTGGGAGGTTGGGGGAGGAGACTGGCTTGAGCCCAGGATTGTGAGACCAGCCTGGGCAACATAGTGAGACTCTGTCTCAAAAAAAGAAGAAAAAATAACATTGTCATATTTAAGCAGGGACAAATTGGCCACTGAAAAAGAATAAGGTCCAGAAATAGACTCAAGTGCATATGTATACTATATAGCAACCTAAAGTTTCCTTTCAAATTGTGGGGAAAGATGAACTATTCAACAGGTGCTGTTTTGTTTGTTTTCAAGAAAAATAAAAATCCTTACATCATATCAAATAATAAATACTTTTGGTGGCAGGGCAGGGGGGATTTAAAAATTTTAAGCCAAATAAAGATATAAAGCTAACAGAAAAAAAATTTTAGAAAATACTTTCATAACTTCCAAGTGAGAAGGTATGTGTGTATAAATATATACCTTAAATATGTATACTCTATGTATATTTAAAGAAAATGTATACCAATTCTGTAAAGAGGTAAATGATAATTGCTTGATTTTTTTTTTTTTTTTTTTTTTTGAGATAGAGTCTCACTCTGTCGCCCAGGCTAGAGTACAGTGGCGCGATCTCAGCTCACTGCAAACTCCGCCTCCCGGGTTCATGCCATTCTCCTGCCTCAGCTTCCCGAGTAGCTGGGACTACAGGTGCCTGCCACCACGCCCAGCTAATTTTTTGTATTTTTAGTAGAGACAGGGTTTCATGGTGTTAGCCAGGATGATCTCGATCTCCTGACCTCGAGATCCACCTGCCTCGGCCTCCCAAAGTGCTGGGATTACAGGCGTGAGCCACCGCGCCCAGCCAATTGCTTGATTTTTGATACCATGCCAGATCATTTTCCAAGTCCACTTGCCCGAATGTCACACTCGTAAGAAATGATAAGTATCCATGTGGGATTGGTTCTAGGATCCACCCTCAGTTACCAAAATCCACGGATGCTTAAGTCTCTTATGTAAAATTACATAGTATTTGCATATGACCTACTCACATCCTCCTACACACTTTAAATCATCTCTAGATTACTTATAATACATAATACAATGTAAATGCTATGTAAATAGTTGTAATTCTGTATTGTTTAGGGACTAGTGACAAGAAAAAATAGTCTGTACATGTTCAGTACAGAAGCAATCTTTTTTTTTTTTAAGAGACAGGGTCAGGCGTGTATACAGGCGGCACATGTTAATAAACTGTTTCGGCCAGGCACGGTGGATCATGCCTGTAATCCCAGCACTTTGGGAGGCCGAGGTGGGCAGATCACGGGGTCAGGAGATTAAGACCATCCTGACTAACACGGTGAAACCCCGTCTCTACTAAAAATACAAAAAATTAGCCGGGCGTGGTAGCAGGCGCCTGTAGTCTCAGCTACCGGGAGGCTGAGGCAGGAGAACGGCGTGAACCCGGGAGGCGGAGCTTGCAGTGAGCCGAGATCGCACCACTGCACTCCAGCCTGGGCCACAGTGCGAGACTCCATCTGAAAAAAAAAAAAAAAAAAAAGACGGGGTCTCAGTCTGTTGCCCAGGCTGGAGTGCAGTGGCACAATCATAGCTCACTGCAGCCTCAAACTCCTGGGCTCAAGCAATCCTCCCACCTCAGCCTTCTGAGTAGCTGGAACTCCACACCACTGTGCTAGGCCTCTTTTTTTGTTTTGTTTTTGGTTTTTTTGAGACAGTTTTGCTCTTGTTGCCCAGGCAGGAGTGCAGTAGCACAATCTCGGCTCACTGCAACCTCTGCCTCCCAGGTTCAAGTGATTCTTCTGCCTCAGCCTCCCGAGTAGCTGGGACTACAGGCGAGTGCCACCACGCCCGACTAATTTTTGTATTTTTAGTAGAGACAGGGTTTCACCATATTGGCCAGTCTGGTCTCGAACTCCTGACCTCGTGATCCACCCACCTCGGCCTCCCAAAATGCTGGGATTACAGGCGTGAGCCACTGCACCCCGCCAATTTTTTGTATTTTCAGTAGAGACAGGGTTTCCCCATGTTGGTCAGGCTGGTCTCGAACTCCCGACCTCAGGTGATCTGCCCGCCTCAGCCTCCCGAAGTGCTGGGATCACAGGCATGAGCCACCTCGCCTAGCCTGTTTTTTGTTTTTTTGAGACAGGGTCTTGCTCTGTCACCCAGGCTGGAGTGCAGTTTTGCAGTGGCATGATCCCGGCTCACTGCAGCCTTAACTGCTCAGGCTCAAGCGACCCTCCCACCACAACCTCCCAAGTAGCTGTGTCCCACAGGCACACACCACAGTGCCTGGCTAATTTTTTTATTTTCTGTAGACATGGAGTCTCCCCATGTACTCAGGCTGGTCTCAATCTCCTGGGCTCAAATGATCCTCCCCCATCTTGTTCTCCCAAAGTTCTGGGATCACAGGCGTGAGCCACCGCCCCCAACTACTTTTTTAAAAATATTTTGATCTGCAGTTGGTTGAATCCTCAAATGTAAAACCCACAAATATGAAGAGCCGACAAGAACCAACATCTGACGAAGGTACAGAAAAACTACTGCACTACTGCTCTATAAGATTAGAAATTAATCTGTAAACATTGATACATTGTTAGGATGCTTTTGCCACCTGATAGAGACATTAATTCCAAATGTTCCAGGTCTTTATTGCCCTGAGAAAGTTAAGCAATCTTATAACTAATTTAGCAAATTTGTGTAAGGATTTTGCCTTTCAATATGAATGTATGTTCAAAGACAAAGGTCTGGAAAGATATGCACAAAATAAAATTAAACAGTGGTTATTTCTGGGGAGGAAAGTAGGAAATTGAATTTTTGCAACTTTTTGTACTTTTGTATTTTTCAGAAGTTCTTGTTTTTAAAATGTCAATGTAAAAGCACACACACAATAAATGTCTCCATCAACTCTTTGTCCACGACTAGAGAAATGGTTTAGTAAACTATATTTCTTTTCCTTGGAAACATATTCAATCATTAAAATTATGTTTATAAGGATTACATTATAACATGTAATTAAAGAAAGGGAAAACTATGCACAGAAAAGTTATAGGAGGAAAAACACCAGTGCATTAATTATATTGATAATATTTTATTTTTTTAAGTATTCTTATCTAATGAGAATGTAACATTTTTGTAATAAGGAAAATGTTAGTAAAAACAAAACACAGCATGTTTCAGCATGCCCTGACTCTTCTTTGAGGATATGTGATACAATAGATTGGCCTTTTGTGACTTTTACAAAAGGTTGTAGTTTTTGTTCCCTCCACACTTAAGAATTTTATCTCACATCATGAATATCTGACTTCTGGCTTTTTTTTTTTTTTAAGGTAAGCAAGCTAACATTTAAAACTGTGATTAAATAAGAGTATCTTTCAAGGTTTGGCTAAGGAGAGCTAACATTTCCGTGCTGTGCTGTTAATCAAAGGAACTTCTTCAGCTGGTTTTGTTTTGTTTTGTTTTGAGACGGAGTTTCGCTCTTGTTGCCCAGGCTGGAGTGCGGTGGCAGGATCTCAGCTCACTGCAACCTCTGCCTCCTGGGTTCAGGCGATTCTCCTCCTCCTGGGTTCAGGCGATTCTCCTGCCTCAGCCTCCTGAGTAGCTGGGATTACAGGCATGCACCACCACACCGGGCTAATTTCTGTATTTTTAGTAGAGACGGGGTTTCACCATGTTGGTCAGGCTGGTTCCTTTTTAACTGAAACATGTCAGAGAGGAAAAATTTTCCTCAACCCTCTTATGTTTTGTAACTGAGGGCCTGCAAATTAAACTAATAAAAGACATAGTAACAGGAGAAAAGGCACACCATTTTTATTAATATTTGCATGCAAAAGAGTTCTCAGGAAAGAAGTAGTTAGACTTGCGGTTTTATGTACCTTTTTAACAAAGGAAAGAGGGTTTGAGCTTCAAGGAACTAATTGTGGGGCACTGAGTAGGAAACATGGGGGAATTAATGGAAGATAAGGGCTATTTTAGAAAGATCTGTTTATGCAAATTCATCTTGGTGTTAATTCCCATCTTTGGTAAAAATCACTCTTCTCTCCCTGGTACTGGGTGGGTGGGGAAGCACCTTCCTCAATGGGAAATTTATGCCCTGCTTTTAGGCTCTGTCACCCAGGCTGGAGTGCAGTGACATGATCATGGCTCACAGCAGCTTCGACCTCCAGGGTTCAAGCTATCCTCCCGCCTTAGCCTCTTGTGTAGCTGGGACCACAGGCTAGCACCACCACACTCAGCTAATTAAAAAAAAAAATTTTGGTGGAGATGTTCCCGAACCGAACCAGGCCTGGCTGTATGTTCTCACAGCCCAATAATGAGATGCAGATGGACTGGGAAAGAAGGGAGTTTATTTCTGTAACTGGATACAGGGAGAAGATCAGAGATTATTCGCCAGACCAACTCAAGGTATTACAATTCTTCCCATGCTCATACATGTTTGGACTACATGCCTACGTGCAGTATCACATTTGCCTAAGTTTATCAGTAATTAATTTTGCTTCAACTAGAAGGTCAGAGGCCAAAAATGCCCTCTAAATCTACCTAATCCGTGAGGGTCCTCGTACCAGGGTGATTAAGAAATGTCTCCTAAATTTACTTAAGGAGGATCCTGGCACCAGAGCAATTACTTCTACTTTATCTTACCTACGGTTTGGTCCTAAGAGTTGCTCCAGACCCTCCTCCTTAAAATAAATCGTTTCAAGGACTGTCTATGTTACCTTGACTCGCCCCAGATGTCAACCCGAGACAGATCCTGGTACAAGGAATGTAAGGCTGTCTCCATTATCTTGACGTGCTCCAGGTTTTAGGAGAAGCCTGTGCAAGGCACTTACTGAACATATATTTCATTTCTGGTTCTGACGTCCGAGCATTGATTTTCCCTAGACTTAATTGTTAGCCCAATATTAAGGCAAGCGCTGTGGAAATTCATCTATGTAAATGGAGTGCTATGGAGCCCTGTCTGTGTGACTGTCAGGGAGAACTGGCCTGCCACAGATATGAGGTCTCACTATGTTGCCCAGGTTGGTCTCGAGTTTCTGGGCTCAAGTGATCCTCCTGCCTTGGCCTCCCAAAGTGCTCGGATTACAAACATGAGCCACCGCTCCCAGCCACCTGCATCTCCTGATTCTCAATTACCTTCAGCTCAAAATTTTCCTATGACAATGTGTCATATTTTGGGGTCGCATATTCAGATCCCCTTCAAACAAAGATGAATAAAGTCAAAACACCTATGGGGTAAAAATTCCTCATTCTGAAGGCACCAGGTAAAGATTATGCTCTTTGGAGAGACAAGATAGAAACTGCCATTGCAAAATTATAACTGAGAAAATTATGACAGTAAAGGAGATCTGAGCTAACCAACTCCATCTTGCTTCAAGCTATCCAATTTGACTCCTGGGTGTACGTAGAACTAACTCAGGGAGGAACTCAATTTATAGTTTAACTTTCCCCAAACAAACTTCCTTCCTGCTTGGGGACTAGACTGCCTTTGTAGGACTAAAAAATTCGCCACGAGATCAGAAATTATGGTTTAGGAGTTATGCAGCTGGAGGCTACAAGATTCTGACTGTCCTCAAATTTCTCCTGGGGATAACATTACTATTGTAAAACATAAGATTAGTGCTTGAGACATTTTGCAGACCGTACACTTGATGGATCAGCTGGCACTACCTAGCTTGGTAAACTGGCTCATCTAATCTTGTAGCCCCCGCCCAGGACCTGACTCAAGCAAAAGGACAGCTTTGACTCCCTGTGATTTCATCTCTGACCCAACCAATCAGCACTTGCAACCCACTGGCTTCCCCACCCACCAATTTATCCTTAAAAACTCTGATCACCACGAGGTCAGAAGTTTGAGACCAGCCTGGCCAATGTGGTGAAACTCCATCTCTACTAAAAATACAAAAATCAGCCATGCATGGTGGAGCACACCTGTAGTCCCAGCTACTCAGGAGGCTGAGTCAGAAGAATTGCTTGAACCTGGGAGGCAGAGATTGCAGTGAGCCGAGATCGTGCCACTGCACTTCAGCCTGGGCAACAAAGTGAGACTCCATCTCAAAAAAAAAATAAAAAATAAAAAACAAAACTCTGATCACCAAATACTCGAATGCTTGGGGAGACTGATTTGAGTAATAATAAAACTCTGATTTCCCACACAGCCAGGTCTTCATGAATAATTCTTTCTCAGGCTGGGCGCCATGGCTCATGCCTATAATCCCAGCACTTTGGGAGGCTGACACAGGTGGATCGCTTGAGCTTAGGAGCCTGGGCAACATGGCGAAACCCTGTCTCTACTGAAAACACAAAAATTAGTGGGGTGTGGTGGTGTGCACCTGTGGTCCCAGCTACTTGGGAGGCTTATATGAGAGGATCACTTGAACCTGGGAGATGGAGGTTGCAATGAGTTGAGATCATGCCACTGCACTCCAGCCTGGGCGACAGAGTGAGACTGTCGAGGCAGCGAGCAAGGTGAACCCACTGGGTGGTTACAAGATGGCACAGAGTTTATAAGTAGAAATTCTCTTGACTGCACAGCTTTCCATAGTCTAGCAATGTGCCCTTGGGAAAATGTATTCATCTCTTCGAGCTCAATGTCTTCACCTGTACAATGGTGTTCTGGTGAAGATCAAGTGAGATAAGGCACACTTAGCAAAATGCCTGGCACATGGCACAAAATTTTGTATTCCTCTTCAGATGTTTATTTCATAAGTATATGGACTCCTACTATCAGTCAGTTTGACCAGAGAAACATAAACACTATGAGTAACAGAGTATGGTTTACGATAGAGATTATGAGGATTTATCATAGGGATTAGAGTATAGACAGTTGTGGGAGCTGTTGGAGAGGTCTACACAAGGCTGTCGCCTTGGGTTGTGGGTTGTGTAGGGTCTGAAGTCACCCAGGCTGGCAGTCAGGAAGGCTGAATGTAAAGTAGGGAAGAGCAAGACTTGGGATCCATATGGATAGACTAGAAATCACAAGGACAAGCAATGACATTGGGCGACCTGCAGGAGAAGCTGTTGCCCTCTGCCACAGAACCACCCAATCACCTGGCCCAGGTCTAAGAAAAGCTGAAGGAGGAGATATGGTAGGAGCTTGAGGGGCCGTGGATACCACCGTGTAGGGAAAACTCTCCCTAACTGTGTTTTTCCCCTACTCTCACACCTCAACAATCAACACAGAAGACTTCTGTGGCCATGTGTTGTGTGGTTTTTTTTTCTCACATACCAAGCTGTGAAGAGCATGTGGGTACCCTCTAATTCTGATGCTATCTACCCAGAGATAGTGTCAGATGCTACAGGTTGAGGGCTCAGTACCCAAGACTGCCCCCTCACACAAACCAATCACAAGCCTGCGCCTCTGGAACTTCTGACTGGCTTCAAGTTGAGGTTCCCATGACCCCCTCTTTGGGTTCAATTAATTTGCTGGAGTGGCTCACAGAACTCAGGGAAACACTTACTGATGTTTACCTGTTTATTATAGAGGATATTGCAAAGGATATAGATGAAGAGATGTGTAGGGTGAGGTTTGGGGGAAGGGGCATAGAGCTTCCACACCCTCCCTAGGTGCACCATCCTCCAGGAATGTCCGCGTGTTTGCTATACAGAAGCTCCCTGAATCCAGTCCTCTTGGATTTTTTGTTCGTTTGTTTTGTTTTGTTTTGTTGAGATGGAGTCTCACTCTGTCGCCCAGGCTGGAGTGCAGTGGCATGATCTCGGCTTGCTGCAGCCTTCGTCTCCGGGGTTCAAGTGATTCTCCTGCCTCAGCCTCTCAAGTACCTGGGATTACAGGCACGCACCATGACATCCGGCTAATTTTTGTATTTTTAGTAGAGACAGGGTCTCACCATGTTGGCCAGGCTGGTCTCGAACTCCTGACCTCAAATGATCCGCCTGCCTCGGCCTCCCAAAGTGCTGGGATTACAGGCATGAGCCACTGAGCCCGGACCCTCTTGGGTTTTTATGGAAGCTTCATGATGTCAGCATTTCTTCCCCCAGGGTGTACAAGGGTCTTAAGACCCACAATCAGAAAGGAGGGAAACATTAGTGTCCTGCCTTGAGGCAGGTGAAAGGAGGGCAAGAGAAGCTCAAAGGCCCGCCTCCGAGGTCTGACACACCCCATATTACAACAAGACTGTACCAAGGCAGGGACCATGGATGAAAACCAA
The DNA here is from genome assembly GCF_000001405.40 of Homo sapiens. Lineage (NCBI taxonomy): Eukaryota > Metazoa > Chordata > Mammalia > Primates > Hominidae > Homo > Homo sapiens. Next base: position 31,933,399 of record NC_000012.12, read on the forward strand.
TATACATCATAATGCCACCCTGCCCCACCCCAGCAAGGCCAGCTAGGGAATCAGCAACAATAACGCCTCACTGCAATAACGCCTGCCACTATAGCCTTACTTTCAGCACAAAGAAAATGGCAGATGCTTCACTTGTGGCTTCTAAAACTTGTTCATGTTTCTTCTGTGGTCAACTGCAACTCAGAATCATTCAGGGAAGGAAGCTGGGACACTTAGTTTGAATTTATCTAAGTCGACAGAGTACAAAGCCATCACACTTTTGTATTACTTATAACCCTGGCTACTTTAGTCTGAAACTAAAAACTTGGAGGCAAAAAACACACAGCATAACATTCAGACTTTTTAAGCCCAAGACTTTTATTTTGAAATTCGGGGACTTCTTTTTTTTTTTTTTTGAGACGGAGTTTCGCTCTGTCGCCATCTCGGCTCACTGCAAGCTCTGCCTCCCGGGTTCACGCCATTCTCCTGCCTCAGCCTCCCGAGTAGCTGGGACCACACGCGCCCGCCACCACGCCTGGCTAATTTTTTGTATTTTTTCAGTAGAGACAGGGTTTCGCCGTGTTAGCCAGGATGGCCTCGATCTCCTCATCTCGTGATCTGCCTGCCTCAGCCTCCGAAAGTGCTGGGATTACAGACGTGAGCCACCACACCCGGCCCGAAATTCGGGGACTTCTAACAGCAAAGCCAGTTACCTTCTCATTTCTGTGAGATGAATTCATAGTGAAGGAGTGAAGGATGTGCCACTCCAAAATCTGCTGAATTAGTATACTGATTATTTAAGCTAAAGACACTTTAGAAACTGTAGTTGCAGAAAGGGCGAGCTAGCCAGGCATGGTGGCACACGCCTGTGCCACAGCTACTCCGAAGGTTGAGGTGGAAGGATCACTTGAGCCCAGGAGTTTGAGGTTGCAGTGAGCCGTGATCGTGCCACTGCACTCCAGCCTTGGCAAAAGAGTGAGACACTGTCAAGAAGAAAGGAAAGAAAGGGCCAGGTGCGGTGGGTCATGCCTCTATTCCTAGCACTTTGGGAGGCCAAGGCGGGTGGATCGTTTTTGAGCTCAGGAGTTCAAGACCAGCCTGGGCAACACAGTGAAACCCCATCTCTACAAAAAATACAAAAATTAGCTGGGTGTGGCGGCATGCACTGTGGTCCCAGCTACTCGGGAGGCTGAGGTGGGAGGATTGCTTGAACCCGGGAGGCAGGGAGACACAGGTTCCAGTGAGTCAAGACCATGCCATGCTGCTGCACTCCAGCCTGGGAGACACAGCAAGACCCTGACTCAAAAAAAAAAAAAGAAAAAGAAAAGAAAGTGAGAGAGAAAGAAAAAAAGAAAGAGGTAGCTGACCTGTCCTTTTCTACCTGTTACAATCCATAAAAATTCCTTTGAGGAGAATGCTTCTTTGTACCAGGGTGAGAAAACAACCCCTATCTCCAGAGACTGGGAACTGATGCTCCAACAGGCCTGTATAAATAAACTTACTAAACTAACCCTTATCTTCCACTAGCTTTACACCTCTCCATAAATCTCCTAGTGACTGCCCTAGAATTTACTACTCCGGCCCAGATCCCTTTGTCTTGTCATTTCTTCACAAATTTATCATTCTTTATCTGAAAAGTAAAAAATCTTCCTACTTTTGTCATTTCTTTGAGTCTTCACTCTCTTGTGAGGGTCCCCATGTACATGCAAAAATTAATAAAACATGTATGCTCTTCTCTTTTTGATGTCTTGTGTCAATTTGATTTCTGGACCCTACTTAAGAAAGTCCTACTTAAGAACTAAGATGAGTAGAGGTGACTTTTAGGCCCTCCTACAATAGTTCAGAAAACAACAAGTATGGTGGTGGTGCTGGTAGTCCTAGCTACTTGGGATGCTGAGGTGAGGAATCACTTGAGCCCGGGAGTTTGAGGTTGCAGGGGAGCTATGATTGCACCACTGCACTTCAGCCTGGGCAACAGAGCAAGACCCTGACTCTTAAATTTAAAAAAAAATTTGTTTGCTTCAAAAGATGTAATTTTGAATGAATTATATATCGCACTAAATAGAAATTTGTTCAGATAAAAACTATCAAACTCTTGTGCAGATTTGGCCTGAGGGATGGCGGGATCTGAGCAAATCTCAGTGGGTTGTGACAGCGTGTGTGGCTTGATAGTTTCCTTGTTTGATTCTCACATAGTGCCCACCCACAGACAGCTTTTTTTTTTTTAAAGATGGAGTTTCGCTCTTGTCACCCTGCTGGGTTCAAGCGATTCTCCTGCCTCAGCCTCTGAGTAGCTGGGATTATAGGCACCCGCCACCACACCCAGCTAATTTTTGTATTTTTAGTAGAGACGGGGTTTCACCATGTTGGCCAAGCTGGTCTCGAACTCCAGACCTCAGGTGATCTGCCCACCTCTGCCTTACAAAGTGCTGGGATTATAGGCATGAGCCACTGTGCTGTGCCCAGCCAATTTTTGTATTTTTAGTAGAGACAGGGTTTCACCATGTTGGCCAGGATGGTCTCGATCTTCTAACCTCGTGATCCACCCACCTCAGCCTCCCAAAGTGCTGGGATTACAGGCGTGAGCCACTGTGCCCAGACAGCAGAGTAGTTTCTTGATGGCCAGGGGTGCTGTCTTAATTTGGAACTGGCTGGAAACCCTGTTGCTGATCATCTGAAGCTTGATGGTCTCTAGGCGAGAGAAAATGAATTTGGTTAAAAGATTTAATGGGAATTTCAGGGGTGGATACCTATGCTGTCAGGGATATTATAGGAATGAATTAAAACATTCTGTTGGCCGGGCGCAGTGTCTCACACCTGTAATTCTAGCACTTTGGGAGGCAGAGGCGGGTGGATCATGAGGTCAGGAGATCTAGACCATCCTGGCTAACCCGGTGAAACCCTGTCTCTACTAAAAATACAAAAAATTAGCCAGGGTTGGTGGTGGGCGCCTGTAGTCCCAGCTACTCAGGAGGCTGGGCGTGAACCCAGGAGGCAGAGCTTGCAGTGAGCCAAGATCACACCACTGCACTCCAGCCTCGGCGACAGTGCGAGACTCCATCTCAAAAACAAAACAACACAAAACAAAAACAACGTTCTGTTTAGGCCGGGCGTGGTGGCTCACGCCTGTAATCCCACCACTTTGGGAGGCCGAGGCAGGCGATCACAAGGTCAAGAGATCAAGACCATCCTGGCCAACATGGTGAAACCCTGTCTCTACTAAAAATACAAAAATTATCTGGACGTGGTGGTGCGTGCCTGTAGTCCCAGGTACTCAGAGGCTGAGGCAGAAGAATCACTTGAACCCGGGAGGCGGAGGTTGCAATGAGTGGAGATCACGTCTCTGTGCTCCAGCCTGGTGACAGAGCAAGACTCCTTCTCAAAAAAAAAAAATTGTTTAATTACTACAAAGGAAGTGATTCCAACCGTTTGAAAGATGGAAATCAATCTGCAAAAAATATAAAAACATGGCTACTGTTATCCAGCCTACAGTAACGATGCAACAAAACACCAAGGAAAATTGGTAGGCTTCTTCTTCTCTTTTGGCTGCCTTCTAAACAGGTACTTCAGGGCTTCCACAGGTTCACAGTGTAGTGGATGATGGGAACTTCAGGTTCCAGGTCTGGGGCTTCAGGTATCGCAGACTTGATCCTTGAAAGATGTATTGAACGATCTAATCCCAGTCCTTTGACCACAGAAGGTGTGGCCATTACCACTGAAAATGGTCCTTTCCATTTGGGTTGCAATTGTTGAGCAGGTGATCCCTCCTTGCATGTTTTAACAAGTACCTTATCCTGACTTGATTTTGGGTTACTGGTTAGTTCCCAGTATAGGGAGCCTTTGAGTTCCAAACTTTTGTAAAGCCTGCTGAAATTGACCTAGGTTAGCTAGGTATTTTACTAAACTGGCTGTTTCTGAATCAGTAATTAGATCATTAGTGAAGAATGCCCTTCCGTATAACATTTCCTATGAGCTTATATTAATTTCTGCTCTAGGGGTATTACAGGTCCTTAAGAAGGCTATGGGCAGTAGGCTGACCAAAGTTTCTAATGTTTCCTGACATAGCTTAGATAACACTCATTTTAGAGTTTGGTTAGCCCTTTCTACTTTCCTGGAGGATTGAGGCCTTCATGCTGAATGTAAATAGTATTTGATTCTATGATGGCTAATATTGAGTGTCAACTTGATTGAAGGATGCAAAGCATTGTTCCTTGGTGTTATCTGTGACAATGTTGCCAAAGGAGATTAACATTCCAGTCAATGAACTGGGAAAGGCAGACCCACCCTCAATCTGGGTAGGCACAATCTAATCAGCTGCCAGTGCAGCCAGAATAAAAGCAGGCAGAAGAATGTGGAGGGATTAGACTGGCTTAGCCTCCCAGCCTACATCTTTCTACCATGCTGGATGCTTCCTGCCCTTGAACATCAGACTCCAAGTTCTTCAGCTTTGAGACTCAGACTGGCTGCCTTGCTTCTCAACTTGCAGACGGCCTATTGTGGGACCTCACCTTGTGATTGTGTGAGTCAATACTCCTTAATAAACTCCCCTTTATATATACATCTATCCTATTAGTTCTGTTCCTCTAGAGAACCTTGACTAATACAGATTTTGAGAGCCTTAGCAACACTGTGAGTTATTTGGGAGATAAAGGTCAGGCCATTATCACTTTAGAGACTCTGAGGTAACCTAAACTTAGGGATTATTTCTTTTTAAGAGAAACTTTAGGCTGGGCGAGGTGGCTCACGCCTATAATCCTAGCACTTTGGGAGGCTGAGGGGGGCAGATCACCTGAGGTAAGGAGTTGAGAGCAGCCTGACCAACATGGAGAAACCCTGTCTCTACTAAAAAATATAAAATTAGCCAGGCATGGTGGCTTGTGCCTGTAATCCCATCACTTTGGGAGGCCGAGGCAGGCAGGTCACCAGATGTCAGAAGATTGAGACCAATTTGGCCAACATGGTGAAACCCCATCTCTACTAAAAAAATACAAAAATTAGCTGGGTGTGGTGACACACACCTATAATCCCAGCTACTCGGGCAGCTGAGGCAGGAGAATGGCTTGAACCCGGGAGGTGGAGATTGCAGTCAGCTAAGATCACGCCACTGCACTTCGGCCTGGCAACAAAGCGAGACTCCATCTAAAAAAAAAAAAACTTTTATCCTCTACAAGCTGGCACATGGGTGAAGTCTAATTGCCAGTCTTCCCCTGGCTAAGTTCCTCTCCTCTGGACTAGTTCTATTAGGGGAGGCATTTTGTGTCCCGGGTTATTAAGTGCACCCAGTGAGCAGACTTGACAGACCTGCTAAGTTAGGCCCAATGAAGAGCCTGTTAACCATGGCCAGGGTGGCATCTCTCCCCATATGGAAGGAGTCAAGCAGGGTTTTTACAATTCTCCATTGGGCTGTTTGAGGGAGATATGCTTTTGATCCCATATACCACCAGGATCCTTGTTTTTGTCCCCCCCTCCGTTATTAACTCTACAGTGTGTATTCAGGTTCTATTGGGAAATCATAGAAAGGAAGTAGTGCTAGGATCTGTTGGGATTGCACCCTGAGGCCTTCAGCTTTTGCTTCTCTATCAGCCTTTCTGTTCCTTTGTGCCATAGGAGTTAAGTTCCTTTGATGCCCCCCACAATGGATTATAGCTACGGCCTTTGGCAGGTGTATTGTTGCTAATAACTGAATAATTTCAAGCCCATGCTTTATAGGACAGTGTTTGCTAGTTAGTAGTAGTCCTCTTTCTTTCCAGATTGTAGCACGAGCATGAACCACAAAGAATGCATATTTAGAATCTGTATAGATGTTAAGGTTTTTCCTTTGTCCCAGCATTAATGCTCCAGTAAGAGCAATGATTTCAGCCTTTTGTGCTGATGTGCCAGGGGGCAGTGGCTGGGCTTCAATAATGGTGTTGTGATTTACTATTACATATCCAGCTCTGCACTCCCCATTTGACACAAAACTACTGCCATCTATGAACCAGTCACCCTCAGAATCTGGAAGAGGCTGATTTTTTTTTTTTTAAGACGGAGTCTCGCTCTGTTGCCAGGCTTGAGTGCAGTGGCATGATCTTGGCTCACTGCAACCTCCAACTCCCTGGTTCAAGCGATTCTCCTGCCTCAGCCTCCCGAGTAGCTGGGATTACAGGCACCCACCACCATGCCCAGCTCACTTTTGTATTTTTAGTAGAGATGGGGTTTCACCATGTTGTCCAGGCTGGTCTCGAACTCCTGACCTCAGGTGATCCACCCACCTCTACCTCCCAAAGTGCTGGGATTACAGATGTGAGCCACTGTGCCTGGCTGTGTCCCTTTATCTCTAAGACTGACTTTACCTGATTGGGGGTTAGAACTTCCAGCAGTTGGCCCAGGTTGATTTTAGTGGCTTCCTCCACTAACATAGCAGTGGCTGCTATTGCCCGCAGGCAACTTGGCCATCAGGAGGCCACTCCATTCAACTTCTTTGAAAAGTGGGCAGTTGGGGCCAGGCATGGTGGCTCACGCCTGTAATCCCAGCACTTTGGGAGGCAGAAGTGGGCAGATCACAAAGTCAGGAGTTCAAGACCAGCCTGGCCAACATAGTGAAATTCTGTCTCTACTAAAAATACAAAAAAAATAGCCAGGCGAGGTGGTGGGCGCCTGTAATCCTAGCTACTCAGGAGGCTGAGGCAGGAGAATTGCTTGAATCTGGGAGGTGGAGGTTGCAGTGAGCTGAGATTGTGCCACTGCACACCGGCCCCTGCAACAGTGTGAGACTCCGTCTCAGAAAAAGAAAAAGAAAAAGAAAAAGAAAAGAAAAGAAGTAGGTGGTTGGTCTGGGTTCTGATCCTAATTTCTGGGCTAGTACTCCCATAGCTATGGCCCTCTTCTCTGCTACATACAAGGAGAAGGGCTTAGTTAGCTCTGGGATGCCAAGAGCGAGAGCCTGGGTAAGGGCCTGTTTTAGCTTGGCAAAGGCTTCTCTCATTTCTGGGGCCCATTCCATTAGCTCATTTTCAGGCCCCCTTGTTGCTTCATATAGAGGCTTTGCTATGAGCCCAAAATTTGGTACCCATATTCTGCAAAACCCAGCCATTCCCCAAAAAGAATGAAGCTGCTGCTTGGTGTTGGAGGCAGGGCTCAAACCACATATGGTCTGTGCTCATTCTGGGGATATTTGCCAGGCTCCGGGTGTTAAGACATATCCAAAATATTGGAACCATTGGAGGGTAATCTGAGCCATCTTTGTATCCCGTATTCCAGGAAATTCAAAGTTTGTATAGTATTTTGGTCAGAAGCCACCCAGGTTGGCTACGCACAAGAAGGTCATCCACATACTAGAGTATACTCCCATTCTCCAATTGCAGATCCCTCAGATCCCTCTCTAAGACTCAGGCAAAGAAATGGGGGCTATCCCGGAAGCCCTGAGGGAGCACCATCCAAGTGTATTATTTTTCTCTGGTACTAGGATTTTCCCATTCAAAAGCAAAAAACCTATTGGGACTCTGGGGGCAGAGGAATGGAGAAGAAAGCATCTTTTAGGTCTAGGACTGAGAACTATTTTGCATCCCCTGGCACCTGAGCCAAGAGGGTATATATGGATCCACCACCAATGGATGGCCAGGGATAATGGCCTCATTAATTATTCTGAGATCCTGTGCTAGCTGGTATTCCCTCAAAGCCTTTAGAACAGGTAAGATGGGGATGTTGCAAGGAGAATTGAAGGGTTTTCAGAGCCCATGGGTAAGTAATATCTCAGCTCTGGATAGCTCAACTATTTTAACTATGAAGCCTTTTCTTGCTTCCAGCTTAATTGGTTTCTTATTTTTGTTTTTGTTTTTGAGACAGAGTCTCACTCTGTTGCCCAAGCTGGAGTGCAGTGGCACAATCTCGGCTTACTGCAACCTTCACCTCCTGGGTTCAAGCAATTCTTGTGCCTCAGCCTCCTGAGTAGCCGGGATTACAGGCATGTGCCACCATGCCCAGCTAATTTTTGTATTTTTAGTACAGATGGGGTTTTACTATGTTGGCCAGGCTGGTCTCAAACTCCTGACCTCAGGTGATCCACTTACCTCGGCCTCCCAAAGTGCTGGGATTACAGGCATGAGACTCCATGCCTGGCTGGGTATTTTTTTGTAGTTGTTGTTGTTGTTTTGAGACAGAGTCTCACTCTGTCACCAGGCTGGAATGCAGTGGCGTAATCTCGGCTCACTGCAACCTCCGCCTCCTCGGCTCAAGTGATTCTCCTGCCTCAGCCTCTTGAGTAGCTGGGACTACAGGTGTGCACCACCACACCCAGCTAAGTTTTGTGTTTTTAGTACAGATGGGGTTTCACCATGTTGGCCAGGATGGTCTCGATCTCTTGACCTCTTGATCCACCCACCTCCGCCTCCCAAAGTGCTTAGATTACAGCCATAAGCCACTGCGCCCAGCCCTGGCTTGGTATTATTTTCAATTGGGAAAATAGCTGGGGTCTTTAAGCTGTGTTTTGACTGGCACTTTTGTTTTAGCCTTCCCCGGTTTCCCAGTATACCATGCTAGCAGGTTAGCCTGTTTATTAATGTGGTCTGGGACATTGTATTTTTGACTATTAGCAATTTCACTGGGTGATGCTTAAATTGTAGTAGTGCCCCTATTTTAACCATAATATCTCTTCCCAACAGGAGGACTGGGCAGCTTGGTACTACTAGAAATTCCTGTTGGAAAAATTGTTTCTCAAATTGACAAATCAAAGGAGGAGTGAAGAAGCTTGTTTGTGGCCTTCCTTCCATTCCCATAACACTCATTGACTGGGAGGAAGGTTTTCCTGCACAAGCAGTAAGGACAGACTAATTTGCTCCTGTATCAAAAAGAAACTGAATTTGGGGGCCCATCACAGCCAGAGTTACCCGGGGCTCCTCATCTAATTCCTCCTTTTGTACTGCTAGAGCTTTGACTGACTGAGCCCCTCAGTGGGAACTGGGGCAGTCAATCCTCCAGTGCCAGGGGTCATAACCAGTACCCTCACGTTTTTGGCAAGGGCCTGGCATATGCTTAGTACAATTCTTTGCACAATGCCCAGCTTTCTTGCATTTGAAGCAAGAGCCCTTGCTGGCATTATCCTTATGGCTCTTCTGGTTTCCTTTGGACACTCTTTGGGCATTCACAGCATCGCCAATGATGGCTTCCATAATTTTGGCTTGCCATTTTTCTTTTCTTTTCTTTTTTTTTTTTTTTTTGAGACAGAGTTTCACTTTTCTTGCCCAGGCTGGAGTGCAATGGCACAATCTTGGCTCACCGCAACCTCCGCCTCCTGGGTTCAAGTGATTCTCCTGCCTCAGTCTCCTGAGTAGCTGAGATTACAGGCATGTGCCAGCAGGCTTAGCTAATTTTGTATTTTTAGTAGAGACGGGGTTACTCCATGTCGGTCAGGCTGGTCTTGAACTCCCAACCTCAGGTGATCCGCCTGCCTCGGCCTCCCAAAGTGCTGGAATTACGGGTGTGATCCACTGTGCCCAGCCTGCTTGCCGTTTTATTTTGCTCCCTTTTTCCTTCCACCAGGTCACGATTGTTATAAACCATAAAGGTGGTATCAAGAAGCTGATTTTGATTAGTTTGTGGCCCCATCTGTAGTTTTTGGAGCTTATGTCTAACGGCTGGGGCAGATTGGCTAATGAAATGCTGTGCCATTCCTATTTTGCCTTTGGGAGAAGAAGGGTCCAGATTAGTGTATTTGTTAAAAGCTTCCTCCAGCCTGCCATGAAACATGGCTGAATTTTCCTCCTTTCCCTGTGTAACCTCCCTTACTTTATCATAATTTACTGCTTTAGTTATTCCCTTTCTCATTCCTCCAAGGAGAGCCTAAAGAAATTTAGCCCAGTTGTTCATTCCCATGGGTGTGTTATAGTCCCAGTTAGGATCAGTAGTAGGGACTGTGTCTGGTCCTGGGTGATTGCCCTGAGGGTTTCGGGCAAATAAATTGTCTGCTTCCTGGCGGGCAGCCTCAAGGATGTGTTCCTTTTCAAAGGAGGTGTAACAGATTGCTAGAATGAATTGAGCGTCCCTCCATGAGAGATCAAAGGCTAAGGTCAAAGTCTGGAGCCCATCTATGAATTTCCTGGGATTCTCAGAACAGCTTCCTCACTTTCCCTTATGTTATTGTATATTAGTTATAGAGAAGGGGACCTGCACTAGGACTGGCCCCTTGGCTTCTGCTACTTCCTAAGGGGTAGCAGGGCTGGAGGGAGAGTTGAATGTGCTGTTCCCCTCCGAGTGTGAGGGGGACTGAGTAGGGTCCCCAGTGTTTGGGTTTTAGCCTCAGGAACACTTGGCAAGCGGCTATATGGAGGCAGTTGCTGTTCACCCTGAGAGACAGGTGGCCCTTGTAAAAGGGGGTCATCTATAATATCTAGTTCTGCCTTTGGACTTCCCTGTGGGGGAATTATTAGGTTTTGGTATAGGGCCATGAAGGCCTATACATATGGGATTTCTGACCATTTGCCCTGCCTTTTAAAAAACAGGTCTAATTGCAGGATGGTGTCATAATTAAGGCTACTATTGACCACCCATTGTTCCAGGCTGGGGAGCTTATAATGGGGACAAACAGTATTGGAGAAACAAAAATCATACGTTTTCTCTTTAGATTGTCAGGGTCAAATTGATTTCAATCCCAGAGGATGCAGCCAAGTGGGGAATCAGGTGGAATTGATGGAGAGTTGCCCATAGTGGTCTAGAAAAGAGAAGAGAACTTTGAAAAGTTGAGGGCTCATTAAGTAACCGAAATTTTAGCTGGGGTATCCCCCTGGAAAAATTCTGGCCCCTGATTGGGGTTCCCAGGGGGCATACCCTTAAGGGCCCCATCTTAGCCTGTCAGATGTCGCTAAACTCACATGGGTGCTAGCACCACTTTGGAATGGTTCCCTCCACCACTGATGGCCCACTATGAGCTTTCCCTCTTGTCCCTGGATGAAGGCCTTGACTTCTAGAATTAATTTGTAGTCAAACCTTTGGATTTTTTTTCCTATCCCACTTAAAACAATTATTTAACTCTCTACATTTAGGCAAGATTAAATTGTATATAAATTCCCTCTTATGAATCCACCCCCATGACTCACACAGACCATCTACAACATGCCCAAGCCCTCTGACTTGTCCTTAGCCAGTCGAGTAGGGAAGGAAAGAATTCAGCATAAGGAAAGAAGGTTTAAGTCACCTGAAACATGTATGAGTTAGCCCCGGGTGAGCTTCCACTGCCAATTACGTCACACATAGGGATCAGGGACTATAACCAGAAAAGATAGAAAAGAGTCCTTCCCCGTTCCAGGCAAGGCAGCCATCCCCATTCACTCCTTGGCCTTCAGGTTACACCAGAGACTGGCCCCAGCCAGTTGCCTTCAATTACCAACAGTCTACTAGAAAATGGCCGCTGAAAGACCGAAAAAGTAAAGGACTTGGTCTCAAGCCAGTTGGTGGCGGTCAGGCGCTTCCACATGGAAACCTTTCAGTTTCACTGGAGAGTGGCCCTGGCCAGAAACATGCTGTTGCCTCCATGCTTAGGCGCTGTCCACCAAGGATCCCAAATTGGAAAGGAAGAGAGAAAGAGAAAGAGGAAAAAGAGAAAAATAAATCCCAAACTTTGGGCTTACCTCCTGGCTGGCTCACCAAAATATGTTACCAGTTGAGGGTAGCTGTCCCAGTTCTTGGCATTTTAAACAAAGAATTGGACAAACACACAAAGCAAGACAGTGAAAGCAGAGATTTATTTTAAATGAAAGTACACTCCCCAGGGTTGGAGCCATCTCCAGCAAGTGGTTCACAGTATCGGTTACAGAATTTTCTGGGGTTTAAATACCCTCTAGAGGTTTCCCGTTGGTTCTATGCAAATAAAGTAGTGGCCAAGAACCAGTCTGATAGGATGCGGGAGGGGACCAATCAGAAGTACCTTCACGTTTCCTTTTTTTTTTTTTTTTTTTTTTTTGAGAGGGAGTTTTGCTCTTGTTGCCCAGGCTGGAGTGCAATGGTGACATCTTAGCTCACTGCAACATCCACCTCCCAGGTTCAAGCCATTCTCCTGCCTCAGCCTCCTGAGTAGCTGGGATTACAGGCATGCACCACCATGCCCGGCTAATTTTGCCTTTTTAGTAGAGACGGGGTTTCTCCATGTTGGTCAGGCTGGTCTCAAACTCCCAACCTCAGGTGATCCGCCAGCTTCAGCCTCCCAAAGTGTTGGGATTACAGGTGTGAGCCACCGCACCTGGCTGTACCTTCATTTTTCAACTGCCATGCAGAAAAAGGAGGGGTTGTAAAGGGAGTAGTCTCTGATATCCAGTCAGCAATCGGCCTTAGGTTCCCTGCCTCTAGACCCTATTTTCCTGCCTCAAATCTAGAGGCAGAAAAGTGGTGTTTTCATTCAAGAATGAGGGCTGAGCTGGGCACAGTGGCTTTTGCCTGTAGTCCCAGCTATGCAGGAGGCTGAGATGGAAGGTTTGCTGAGCCCAGGAGTTCAAGACCAGCCTGGGCAACATAGCAAGGCTCCATCTCTAAAAAGTAAAAGAACAATAAGGTCTGAATGGCATGACAATGAGGTTAAGTGAAGCTACTAAGATTAAGTCTTCAGTGGCTTTAGTTAACTTTGCAGCTGTAAGTACCCAAAGAGGGTAGGCAACTGCTACGGGGCCAAATGAGAAGATGTAACAAGAAACGGGTCTTTGATGTCCATCATGCTGTTAACACCTCTAAAATTTCTCCTGATTTTTTATACACAAATAGAAAGTAGAGTTTATAACAATTAGGGAATTCAAGGGTAGTGAGTTTATTTGGGACAAGAACTCAGGTGTGTCAACTAGTTTTGATTATAGAAAGGGGGAGCCAGTATAGACAAATTCAGAATCCAGTGTCTACAATATCACGAGTCCAAGAAATTCTCTAAATTATGTTCTGGTAATTGGCCAGGTAAAATCATAAAGAGCTTCCTTTCTCTGAAGGAAAAGAGATTTTCCCTTTTGCATGATGATGTCATGATCAAGATAATTCACTTTAGTCTGATAAAACTGGATTTATGGCCGGGCACAGTGGCTCACACCTGTAATCCCAGCACCTCGGGAGGTCGAGGTGGGTAGATCACGAGGTCAGGAGTTCAAGACCAGCCTGGCCAAGACGGTGAAACCCCATCTCTACTAAAAATACAAAAATTAGCCAGGCGCAGTCACAGGCGACTATAATCCCAGCTACTTGGGAGGCTGAGGCAGGAGAATCACTTGAGCCCGGGAAGCGGAGGTTGCAGTGAGCCAAGATCATGCCACTGCACTCCAGCCTGGGCGACAGAGTGAGAATCCATCTCAAAAACAAAACAAAACAAAACTGGATTTATCCTTTGAGAAGTTATGTCCCTAATTCTTCAAGATTTGGCCGGGCACCGTGGCTCACACCTGTAATCCCTGCACTTTGGGTGGCTGAGGCAGGACAGCTTGAGCCCAGGAGTTTGAGACCAGATTGGGCAACATGGTGTAATCCTGTCTCTTAAAAATATATATATAAAATAAAAATTCTTCAAGATCTTCTATCTGGAGAGCATAAGAGAAGATCCATTAATTATATAAGAGTTTCATCATCTCTGAATTCTGTAAGGAGATAAACTCATGGATAGAGATTACAGTATCCATCCTATAAATTCTTTTTTCTTTTTTTGAGATGGAGTCTTGCTCTGTCGCCCAGGCTGGAGTGCAGTGGCATGATCTTGGCTCACTGCAACCTCCGCCTCCCGGGTTCAAGCGATTCTTCTGCCTCAGCCTCCTGAGTAGCTGAGACTACAGGCATGTGCCACCACGCCCTGCTAATTTTTGTATTTTTAATAGAGATGGGGTTTCACCATATTGGCCAGGCTAGTCTTGAACTCCTGACCCCGTGATCCACCCATTTTGGCCTCCCAAAGTGCTGGGATTACAGGCGTGAGCCACTGCACCAGGCCTCCATCCTATAAATTCTTAAAATAATCCTAAATCCTTCAATGAATTTTTCTCTTTACGTAGGAGGATTTAGAAGGTTCTTAACTAGATTATGCAAACCTGAAATTGACCAAGGTTTAAAACAATAAGCTTAGCTAAGTTGGTTGTCATCATCACTTAGGTGTAAGGCATCACGAAGGGATACTGTCCAGTGAAAGGGGGGTGTTTAGGAAGGAGTAATGGAGGAAAGCGAAGAGGACCTAAGGAAGACACAGCAGGAAGGGAATGAGTCAAAGAAAGGTGTTATGGGAAGTCAGGGACCCCGAACAGAGGGACCTGCTGGAGCCGTGGCAGAGGAACATAAATTGTGAAGATTTCATCTTAATATGGACATTTATCAGTTCTGAAATAATACTTTTATAATTTCTTATGCCTGTCTTTACTTTAATCTCTTAATCCTGTTATCTTCGTAAGCTGAGGATATACGTCACCTGAGGACCACTGTGACAATTGTGTTAACTGTAGAAATTGATTGTAAAACGTGTTTGAACAATATGAAATCAGTGCACCTTGAAAAAGAACAGAATAATAGCGATTTTTATGGAACAAGGGAAGACAACCATAAAGTCTGACTGCCTGCGGGGTTGGGCAAAAAGAGTCATATTTTTCTTGTTGCAGAGGGCCTATAAACGGACATGCAAGTAGGAAACATATCGCTAAATTCTTTTCCTAACAAGGAATATTAATATTAATACCCTGGGAAAAGAATGCATCCCTGGGGGGAGGTCTATGAACGGCCACTCTGGGAATGTCTGTCTTGTGCAGTTGAGATAAGGACTGAGATAAGCCCTCCTCTCCTGCAGAATCCTTAGGCTTACTAGGGTTGGGAAAACTCAGCGCTAGTAAATTTGTGGTCAGACTGGTTCTTTGCTCTCAAACCCTATTTTCTGTTGTTTAAGATGTTTCATCACTCTCAGCTTTCACCTCAGAGGAGGCCAAGGTGCAACTTTCTTTAGTCATCCCAAATCCAGGTTCATCTGACACCAGCCGCCTCCACCATGCCACCGAAGTTCAACCCTAATGAGATCAAAGTCGTATACCTGAGGTGCACCGGAGGTGAAGTCAGTGCCACTTCTGCACTGGCCCCCAAGATCGGCCCCCTGGTCTGTCTCCAAAAAAGGTTGGTGATGACATTGCCAAGGAAACAGGTGACTAGAAGGGCCTGAGGATTACAGTCAACCTGACCATTCAGAACAGACAGACCCAGATTGAGGTGGTGGCTTCTGCCTCTGCCCTGATCATCAAAGCCCTCAAGGAAGCACCAAGAGACAGAAATTAATAGAAAAACATTAAACACAGTAGGAATATAACTTTTGATGAGATCGTCAACATTGCTTGACAGATGCGGCACTGATCCTTAGCCAGAGAACTCTCTGGAACCATTAAAGAGATCCTGGGGACTGCCCAGTCTGTGGGCTGTAATGTTGATGGCCACTACCCTCATGACATCATAGATGACATCAACAGTGGTGCTGTGGAATGCCCAGCCAGTTAAGCACAAAGGAAAATATTTCAATAAAGAATCATTTGACAACTAGAAAAAAAAAAAAAAGATGTTTATCAAGACAATATGTGCACCGCTGAACATAGGCTCTTATCAGTGGTTCTACTTTTGCCCTTTGCCCTGTGATCGTTGTTGGACCCTAATCAGTGGTTCTGCTTTTGCCCTTTGCCCTGTTCCCTCAGAAGCATGTGATCTTTGTTAGACTCTTATCAGCGGTTCTGCTTTTTGCTCTTTGAAACATGTGATCTTTGTACCTACTCTCTGTTCTTACACCCTCTCCCCTTTTGAAACCCTTAATAAAAACTTGCTGGTCTGAGACTCAGGCAGGCATCACAGTCCTACTGATATGTGATGTCACCCCTGGCAGCCCAGCTATAAAATTCCTCTCTTTGTACTGTCTCTCTTTATTTCTCAGCCAGCCAACACTTATGCAAAATAGAAAGAACCTACATTGAAATATTGGGGGTGGGCTCCCCCAATAGAAAGGCAGGAGGAAGTTGAGGGCCAGGGGTCTAGGATGTAAGTTAATCCCGGGTTAGGCAAGAGATGGAGAAGAGATTTAAACGTTGGCTTTTAGGTCCTCTATATTTTTATTGGCCTTTTCTAATAAGTCCTTAATAGAAGCTATTTTAGAATTTTCCTTTGAGAGGACTCTTCCTGGTCATTTAAAAACGCTAATTATTGAATATCTGGGAACATTTAACCATTGACTGTAAGGTGCCAAAAACAGATTATCTTATTCACATCCAAAGTTCACCAGAACAGCCACTAAAGTTCTAGAATGTCCTTAGTAAGATTCTGCCATAGGATCCAATATTTAATTCTATTTACCGCACAACATTGAGCTCATATTCAAATAAAAAGAACAAAGAAGAAATAAATACACAGGCCCCAAAATTCTCTTGGAACTATGAGCCCAGGTCATCTGTGAGAACCTTGAGTAGTAAAAACAAATCATATCCAGAGGCTTATACCAAAGACAATAAAGGTAACGAAGGCTTAAGTGGGGCTGGGCATAGTGGCCCACACCTGTAATCCCAGCACTTTGGGAGGGCCGATCACCTGAGGCCAGGAGTTCAAGACCAGCCTGACCAATATGGTGAGACCCTGTCTCTACTAAAAATGCAACAATTAGCCAGGCGTGGTTGCCCGGACCTGTAGTCCCAGCTACTCAGGAGGCTGAGGCAGGAGAATGGCTTGAACCCGGGAGGTGGAGGCTGCAGTGAGCTGAGACTGTGCCAGTGCACTCCAGCCTGGGCAACAGAGTCAGACTCAGTCTCAAAAAAAAAAAAAAAGGCTTAAGTAGGCACAGTAGCTCACACCTGTAATCATGGCACTTTTAGAGGCTGAGGTGGGTGGATCACTTAAGCCCAGAAGTTCAAGAACAATCTGGGCAACATGGTAAAACCACATCTCTACAAAAAAATACAAAAATTAGCCAGGCGTGCTAGCACACACCTGTGGTCCCAGCTACCCTGGAGGGTGAGGTGGGATGATCTCTTGGGCCTGGGAGGTTGAGGCGGCAGTGAGCCGTAATTTTACCACTGCACTCCAGCCTGGCAACAGAGTGAGAACTCATCTCAATAAAAAAGAAAAAAAAAAGGCTGAGGTGATGATTCAAAGTTGTGAGACGGTTGGAAGCAGGGCTCATTCAGCTGAGCAGTCCCTGTGACTTGTAAAGGAGAAATAAAAACATCTTAGGACCCCCAAACTTGTTATGCAGCAGTGCTGGGTCATGCAGCACTGCTATCCTTTTCCCAAATAGACAGCTATTACTTTACAACCTGGTGTCAAAGCATCATACATTACCCAGACCCTCACAGAAAGGCAGAAGGTCTGATACCATCTCCACATGATGGCCCTCATAAATTTTTCCCAACTAAACTCTTTGCTGGCCTCAAAACCTTTCAAGATGTACATCCTCCCATAAAACAAGAACCATGTCCATTTTAACTTTAGGTCTACCATCTAAGTCTAGCTCCTAAAACTAAAGTTTGCTAGAGTCACACTGATAATGTCAATTACAAGCTGATCTTCCCAGGAGCAGAACAAATCATTCCTCCACCTACCCTGAGATGTTTGCATAATTGATTCTTCCTCTACTCCCTTTTTCTCTGAATTCTTTATAATATAATCACCTTATCTGTATAAAATGTAGATTTACTGAGCTCTAATTAATTAATAGTTCCACAAAAGTATAACCATTTGCCTCACCACCCTACCCCCTCCTTCCCACATGCCTTCTCCCCTTTAAAGAAATGTATAAATACTGTATTAGTCCGTTTTCACACTGCTATAAAGAACTGCCTGAGACTGGGTAATTTACAAAGAGATTGAATTGACTCATAGTTCCACATGGCTGGGGAGGCCTCAGGAAACTTACAATCACGACAGAAGAAGGGGAAGCAAGCTACCTTCTTCAAAAGGTGGCAGGAAGAAGTGCTGAGCAAAGGGGGAAGAGTCCCTTATAAAACCATCGCATCTCAAGATAACTCACTCAATATCACGAGAACAGCATGGGGGAAACCACCCCCATAATCCAATTACCTCCACCTGGTCTCTCTCTTGACACATGGGGATTATAGGGATTATAATTCAAGATGAGATTTGGGTGGGGAAACAGAGCCTAACCACATTTTACATATTTGATTTTTTAAAATATTTGATAACTTTCATTTTGAATTAATTTCCTTTGTAATCTCACATATTTTATTTTATGCATTCAAAAGATTATTCTGGCCAGGCATGGTGGCTCATGCCTGTAATCCCAGCACTTTAGGAGACCGAGACGGGTGGATCACTTGAGGTCAGGAGTTTCTGACCAGCCTGGCCAACATGGTGAAACCCTGTCTGTAATTAGCCGGGCTTGGTGGCCCATGCCTATAATCCCAACTACTCAGGGAGGCTGAGGCATGAGAATCTCTTGAACCTGGAAGGCAGGGGTTGTCGCTGAGATCGTGCCACTGCATTCCAGCCTGGGTGACAGAGCAAGAATCCGTCTTAAAAAAAAAAAAAAAAAAAAAAAAAGATTCTAAGAAGGTGTCCATGGGCTCTACCAAACTACCAAAGAGGTTTATGGTCAAAAAAACAGAGAAGAGTTCCTGCCCTCAGGAGTTATTTCTTTTTTTTTTTTTGCATGGTTGAAATTAAGTTACTGCCATTTCTACATTCCAATCCAAGCAAATGTAAGAAGAGTTTCACGGTAAGCCATTCCCTTAGGCAGAAGTTGCATATAACATTTCTGCTTATATGTCATTATGAGAACTGAAACTTGACAACATCTAGCTGCAAGAGAGACTTGGGGGAATATAATCTCTACTTACATTCCAAGTGACTACATACAAACTGACTTTGTACCCAGCTAACCATTACTAACAAGAAGGGGAAAGAAACAAAAAAGAAGGGGAGGCCTGGCGTGGTGGCTCATGCCTGTAATCCCAGAACTTTGGGAGGCTGAGGCAAGCAGATCACTTGAGGTCAGGAATTCTAGACCAGCCTGGACAACATGGTGAAACCCCATCTCTACTAAAAATACAAAATTGGCCAGGTGTAGTGGTGCGGTCCTGTAATCCCTGCTACTTGGGAGGCTGAGGCAGGACAATCGCTTAAAGCAGGGAGGCGGAGGTTGTAGTGAGCCAAGATCATGCCACTGCATTCCAGCCTAGATGACAGAGTGAGGGTCTATCTCAAAAAAAAAGGAAGAACGGGAAACAGATTATAGGGAGCAATCAAGAAAAGAAAAAGAACTAATGACCTCATTTACAACTTAAATGAATAGGCATTTTTTTTTGCAAACCAAAATAACTTTTACTATAGATATGTTAATGATGTCATTAAAACATTTTCTAAAACATATTTTATAAGTTTAAGAGTTAACAAGCCTTGGCCAGTTTCGGTGGCTCACGCCTGTAATCCCAGCACTGTGGGAGGCCAAGGCAGGTGGATCACAAGGTCAGCAGTTCAAGACAAGCCTGGCCAAGATGGTGAAACCCCATCTCTACTAAAAATACAAAAAATTCACCGGGCCTGGTGGCGGGTGCCTGTAATCCCAGCTACTCGGGAGGCTGAGGCAGAGAATTGCTTAAACCTGGGAGATGGAGGTTGCAGTGAGCCGAGATTTTGCCACTGCACTCCAGCCTGGGCGACAGAGCAAGACTCCGTCTCAAAAAAAAAAAGACTTAACAAGCCTTAAGGCTAAGTACTATGCTCATGAAAGACTCAGATAGCATCTAAGAGAGCCTTTGTTTTTGAATGCTGGGAAACATAGGGAGAGGATCCCGTAATTTATGAAAGGGAGCATAGTATGGAGCAATCTAATCTATGAGGGGAATCTTTCCCAAGCCTGACCAGTTGACAAGGCTTTCTGGCACACTAGGTTGTAAATCTCTTAGAGAGAAGACAGTGTAAAGCTTGGCTCTTGAGTAAACAAACTTTCAGGTCCATGAGATTGCATTCTCCCTTTGCAAGTTTCTTACTGGTGACCATTTAAGACTACTCTATTGATGAATATCACTTGTACTTTAAGACTGTGCAAAGATCAAACACTTTTGGAAAAATCAGACAACCTTTACTTACCTAGCAGAGAGAGGATAAAATCAGCACAAGTACAGACAAGGATACATGGCAGAGAGATCAGCTACTTTATCCCAAATGCTTCCCAGACATTAAATCCTAACGGACACTAAGCCCTCCTTAGGCTGTATAGGAGTGGGGTCCCTATCAGAATTTCCGGCAACAAAAGTCCCTCTCCTTGGGTTTGTTTTTACTTGCTGACCTGCGTGGCTAGGTGCTAGAAAATCCCTTATCTGAGCCAAGTGTGTCCAGCTATGTTCCAGGAACTGCTCCTAGTGAGGTATATGTACTAATTCATGTAACTATCTCAAAAATTAAATAAGGTAAGTATTATTGTTATCCCCATTTTTCAGAAGAGCGAAAAAACAAAAAAATGAAGTGATTTTCCCACAAAGTTCTATCACTAGGGAGCTGCAAAACAAGATTCAAACCTTGGGGCATACTTAAGAGCACTGAACAGGTTTGAGCCAAAGAGCCATTAGAGGGCCAGAGCCGGGTCCTGAACCAACAATAGACGGAGATGTGCTAGACACACTGGAGGTGCTGGGGTATAAGGGACCATTGCTAGAGGAGCAAGCCCTTATGAAGGCAGCAGAGTGGACTATATGTAGGAGCATATACGGTATAGGATTATATATATAGGCTTTTATACAGGAAGAAGGTGGTATATACTGTAAAGGAATAGATATATAAACTATATAAATTCCTATACAGGATATGGTTAGGCTTTCAAATAAAATCATTATGCAACTTGGAAGAAAGTATGACTTCTGCTGGAAGAGATGATCTAGAGAGCTTCCAGCTTGAGGTAAATGATTTTTTTAAAAGAAATGGCATGTCCATATTCTGTACTCATATCAGGAGATACTAAAGATCATTTTAAAAAAGGAGGACTGGCTGGGTACAATGGCTCACACCTGTTATCCCAGCACTTTGGGAGACCAAGGTGGACAGATTGCTTGAGTCCCAGGAGTTCAAGGCCAGCCTGGGCAACATGGTGAACCCCATCTCTACAAAAAATACAAAAATCAGCTGGGTGTAGTGGTGCATGCATGTTGTTCCAACTACTTGGGGGCCTGAGGTGGAAGAATTGCTTAAGTCAAGGAGGTCAAGCCCACAGTGAGCTGAGATCGCGCCACTGTAAATAAAAAAATATAAAAAGGACTGTTTGAAACTCCTATTATTTTTAAGTACAGAACTTGAAGCTTCACAGATATTACAGAACAAGAAACATTAAAATTCTCAATTAGATAAAAATAATGAAATTTATCAGGAAGTTCAAGTTCTGTGTGATAACCTTGGTGTACCCAAGTAAACAACTTCTGACATTCTGGTTATGCTAAACCAAGTGGAATCAAAGGTGAAAGACAGGCAGGACGCAGTGGCTCATGCCTATAATCCCAGCACTTTGTGAGGCAGAGATGGGAGGATCTCTTGAGCCCAGGAGTTGGAGACCAATTTGGGTGACATAGCAAGATCCCATCTTATTTCAAATTTTTAAAAATTGTTAATTTTTTTATTAAAATTAAAGAAAACCACTCTGCTGAAAATTAATTTAAATTTGAAACAGGCAGAACAACTGGAAAGAGTCAATGATGCTCTTTCCTGTGAACATGAGTGCCTCTAGCGAATGTTATGAAACAATTAGATGCGGCAATACAGTCCGTTGCACGGTGTGATACAGCCAAGGTAAGAAAAGATGACACAGCAAGAATTTACCAGCCTCAGTGTTATGCTTTGTCACCCAAGACAGCGATTATAATGGTGCATCTACTTGCTGCTCATGATAATCTATCCAAGATCATTAGGACAAGCAGTGGAGCCAGCCAGATGATGGCATGTGCCATTAATAAGGTGCTGATGGGAAGGGTGCCTGACAGGGGAGGCTGGCCAAATGAAATTGAACCACCACCCTCTGAAATGCCCCCTTGGCAAAAGAGACAAGAAGGCAGTGGCGGAAGGGGTGGTTGGGGTGGTGGTTGTGGAGGTAGAGGTGGTAGTAGAAGAGGCTGTGGGGGTGGAGGTGGAAGAGTTGGCTGGGGTAGAGGAGGATGGGAAAGTGGTGGGGGAGAGGGAGGAGGTGGGATGGAGGTGGTAAAGGAGGTTTCTAAGGCAGAGGAGATGATGGTGGGAGGGGAGATTATGGTGGAAAAGATTATGTAGATCCATATGGAGGAGGTGGTGATGGTGGTGGATATAGGAGATACTGAAGACTACAAAAATTAAAAACCAAAACCAACAAACCTCAAGCGCAAAGGAATAGTCTGCCCTCTTATGTCACAAGCACTAACTAACCACCTCTGCCCTTTCTCATCCCTTAATCATTCAGACAAGATTTCCTTGTTTACTTCCTCCTATAAAAACCCTAAGTCTATTTCATTTTCTTTGAAAAGATTCCTCTGCATTAATGGATGTTGTCCTTACTACAATAGCATGAAAAAAAAAAAAAGTCTCCTTAATGCAGCTTAGCAATTTTCCAGGCTTGATATCAGTGACTCCATCTTGGGCTATTGACTCCATGCTGAGCTGCTGCTAAACTTTGAGGCCCACGAAGAAACTGTGAAAAATATTTCCTTCACAAACAACTGTTATAAATAAAGTTTTGGTGTTGCAAAAGAAATAGCACTCGAATATAAATTTTCTTTTTAATTCTCAGCAAGGCAATGTACTTCTTTTTTTTTTTTTTTTGAGACAGAGTCTTGCTCTGTCGCCCAGGCTGGAGTGCGTGTCGCAATCTCGGCTCACTGCAAGCTCCGCCTCCCGGGTTCATGCCATTCTCCTGCCTCAGCCTCCGGAGTAGCTGGGACTACAGGCACCTGCCACCACGCCCAGCTAATTTTTTGTATTTTTTAGTGTTAGCCATGATGGTCTTGATCTCCTGACCTCATGATCCGCCTGCCTCGGCCTCCCAAAGTACTGGGATTACAGGCGTGAGCCACTGCGCCCGGCGGCAATGTACTTCTATAGACGGGTGCGCCCTCACAGATGGAGCAATGGTGAGCTCACACCTGGGCAAGGGAGGGGAAGGGGTTCTTATTCCTGATGCACGTGGCCTCTGCTGCTGTGTCGTTCCCCTGTTGGCTAGGGTTAGACCGCACAGGCTAAACTAATTCTGATTGGCTAATTTAAAGAGAGTGATGGGGTGAGCGGTTTGGCAGGAAAAATGGTTAAGGCGGGGCAGGAAATCGGAATGAGTCAGGGTGGAGCAGGTGATTGAAATGAGTCAGGGTGGAGCAGGTGATGGAAAAAGGTTGCTTTACGAGGAAGTTAAGTTTAAAAGTAAAAGGCAAAGATTGACCATACTGACATATTGATTCTTTGAAGAGAAATTTAGAATTCATATCTAACACAACCGTTTTTGCAACAACACACAACCCAAGAAAGCTGGTCTCAATATTATTATTATTATTATTATTATTTTCCGAGACAGGCTCTTACTCTGTCACCCAGGCCGGAGTTCAGTGGCTCAATCTTGGCTCACTGCAACCTCTGCCTCCCAAGCTCAAGTGATCCCCCCATCTCAGCCTCCCAAGTAGCTGGGACTACAGGCGCATGCCACCACTCCTGGCTAATTTTTTTTGTTTTTTGTATATTTTTTGTAGAGATTGGGTTCACCATGTTGGCAAGGCTGCTCTCTCAAACTCCTGGCCTCAAGTGATCCTCCCCAAAGTGCTGGGATTACAAGCATAAGCCACCACGCCTGATCCCCAATCTTTTTTTGTTTGTTTTGTTTCATGAGACAGACTCTTTCTGTGGCCCACGCTGGAGTGCAGTGGCGTGATCTCGGCTCACTGCAACCTCTGCTTCCTGGGTTTAAGCAATTCTCCCGCCTCAGCCTCCCGAGTAGCTGAGAATTACAGGTGCCCACAACCACGCCTGGCTAATTTTTATATTTTTAGTAGAAACAGGGTTTCACCATGTTGGTCACGTTGGTCTCAAACTCCTGATTTCAAGTGATTCACCCACCTCAGCCTCCCAAACTGTCAGGCCTCTGAGCCCAAGCTAAGCCATCATATCCCCTGTGACCTGCACGTATACATCCAGATGGCCTGAAGCAACTGAAGATCCACAAAAGAAGCGAAAATAGCCTTAACTGATGACATTCCACCATTGTGATTTGTTTCTGCCCCATCCTAACAGATCAATGTATTTTGTAATCTCCCCCACCCTTAAGAAGGTTCTTTGTAATTCTCCCCACCCTTAAGAAGGTTCTTTGTAATCTCCCCCACCCTTAAGAAGGTTCTTTGTAATTCTCCCCACCCTTGAGAATGTACTTTGTGAGATCCACCCCCTGCCCGCAAAACATTGTTCCGCGGAGCCTCTCCCAAAACCTATAAGAATTAAAGATAATCCCACCACCCTTTGCTGACTCTCTTTTCGGACTCAGCCCGCCTGCACCCAGGTGAAATAAACAGTCTTGTTGCTCACGCAAAGCTTGTTTGGTGGTCTCTTCACACGGATGCGCGTGACACAAAGTGCTGGGGTTACAGGCCTGAGCCACCACACCTGGCCACCCCCAATCTTTAAGAATATTCTGGCCGGGCGCGGTGGCTCATGCCTGTAATCCCAGCACTTTGGGAGGCTAAGGCGGGCGGATCAAGAGGTCAGGAGATCGAGACCATCCTGGCTAACATGGTGAAACCCCGTCTCTACTAAAATACAAAAAATTAGCCGGGCATGGTGGCGGGCGCCTGTAGTCCCAGCTACTTGGGAGGCTGAGGCAGCAGAATGGCGTGAACCTGGGAGGCGGAGCTTGCAGTGAGCCGAGATCGTGCCACTGCACTCCAGCCTGGGCGACAGAGCGTGACTCCGTCCCCCCCCCAAAAAAGAAAGAATATTCTGTATGTAGTTTTTTTGTTTTGTTTCTGACAGACGCAAACGCACTCTTCTAGTAATGACTAAAGACTTCTTCGTTTAATTCACCAATGAACTAATCTGACAATTTATGTAACAAATAAATTCCTATAAACATAAGCTCCCTTGCCCCTCTCCAGTGGCACAATCTCTGATTTGCCATCCTGGTTGCAACCTTCATTACTAAGTAAACGCTTACGTAAACCTTAATAATGAGATTCGGGCAATATGATTAAATATTGGTTTATTTGAGTGCAAAGTTTGAGGATGGCGACCCGGTAGGACACAGACTCCAAAAGATGGGGGTCAGTGCTTCGAAAGGGAGAAGTTTGAGGGTCGTTTACACAGGCAGGGTCTGGGAAGCTTAACAGGATGTCAACATTTTCCATAGAAGGTTAACGCATAGCAATTTGATTGGTTCAAGGCAGTGTTTCTTTTTGGGAAGGGTCTATTTAACATTCCACATTAAGGATGTAATAGTCAAGCGGTCATTTATCTTATTCAATGCGTATTTTATCTCAGATGCCATCTGGTCTGAGCTGGGAACAAGAAAATAAGGGAGTTAATCTATAACAAAAGGTCGGCAATTAAGAGGTCGTGCTTCGTGATCTGGTCTCCAAAGTCAACTTTCCTCAGGGACTTTCAGAATCCCCAAATAGACTATCCACTTTCTTTCACACTTATTTGCCTCTAACTTGTTGATTTCTTTTTTTTTTTTCTGTTTTTTAAGGGTTAACAATCTCTTGGGTGCACTCTGACTTCCATGCGCTTTATAGAAAAAATTGGTCCTGAGGCCAGCAGCAACAGTCGGTCTCAGGAACTTGTTAGAAATGCACATTTTTCAGCCCCACCCCAAACCTACTGAATCAGCAGTTTTGCTGGTGGTTCTCAATCTCTCTTTAACGTGCCCTCTGGGTGCTGCGGATGCACGCTGAAGGTAGAAGATCGCTGCAGGAGATTTCCGCGTCGGGCAGATGAAAGCGCTCTGCAAGCCCGGGTGTTATCTGCGGGCCGGGTCCGCGGCTTCTCTGGTGGCACTAGGACCGCGGCGGCGCGGCCCTCGCAGCCACCGCCTCGGGCGTGAGGCGGAGCGTAGCTGTTCCTGGATCCTGGGCCTGGCTCCTCGACCCGCCCCTGGAGGCGGACCCCACTTGACTTAAACTCTGGGGCCCGGGAGGCCGCCGGTTTTCTCCCCGCTTGCCGGGGTGGTCCTCTTCCCTTTGTCGGTAAGTGTGAGACGAGCACCCCGAGGTCCCTCCGCCTTCCGGGGTCCGGGCGGGGCGGGGGCCGGGAGCCGGGAGCCAGAGGCACTCGCGGTCCGGGCCTGCGCGCGGCGCAGAGCGCTTTTGTTCTGCGGCAAAGACGCAGTCGCGGGCGGCCCCGGAACCCGGGCCTCGGGCCCCGCCGGCTCGCGCGTCCCGCCGTCCGCCCACCGGAGCTGGGCCGGGCCGCCGCGCTTGCTTCTGCCCGCCGCACCGGGGCCGGCCCTGGGCCTCCGCGGATGCCGAGCCTTGCACCGGAGGGCGGGCCTCGCTGGCTGTTTTCCCTCATTGCCTGGCTCTGCGCGGTAGAGGTCGCGAGTGGCGAAGGCTAGGACGCATTTTGTCGAACTGCGAGGCGCGGCTGGTGAGGCGGGTGGGTATGAGAGCTGCTTATGTTTTTAAGGCTTTCCTGTCGCTGGAGTGAAAAAGAAAAATCTTTTTTTTTTTTTGCTATTTCCCGAGGGTTCTCCTCCTCCCCGGCCCTCTTAAGCCGAAGCCTCCTGGAACAGAATTGCTGTACTGGCATCTATCTCCAAGTGGTCCGCGAACGCTTCTGCGCCGGCGATGGTTTCTGTTCCTCAGCAATAGTTCCTTGAGGCATTTTTAAATGCACAAACGCATACCCATCTTAGGTGTTCTCGAGGGACACGGATTCCCTAAGCAAACGTCCTTAGGGTCCTGAGTTCAGCAGCAAACTTTCGGGGAATCATTTCCGTGAAAACAATTTATTTGTAGTACATCGAGTGCATACTGTCTTAACATAAGGATGTGTATGAGCTTGAGGCGCATTTTCATTTAGTGGCGGGCGGGTGCATTTCAGTAGGCGGGCCGCAGAGCTTGTTTGGGGATTGCATTTTTCTGCTAAATGTGTTAGCTTTAATCATGTTTCAGTCACTGTTAATGTGCATGCATGTTAAGGTTTTAGGTTTTTTCCCCTGTGCAGTCGGATTTTTTTCTGTTTAATATTAATCCAATAAAGACAAGTGCAGAGATAAAGTATTATTGTTTTGCAGTGATACTACAATAGCGGACCTAGAGGAGCGCACATAAATTCTAACTTAAGTGAATGGTATTTTCAGGCCAGACCTAGTTTCTATTTCTGTTACTTAGGACACTTAATAAGAATTCAGTAAACTTAGCATGCTTTCAGTGCAGCCATAAAAGAAAACAGTTTTGCACAGCAGTGTCATATCTAGTAAACACATTAGCATGTGCTCTTTTATTATAAAATGTTTCTTGCTGTCCCTAGGACCAAAGAAGTAAACACTGTGTGGAGAGGGACTGACGTGTTTGGAGGGAAATGGGAATGTACACGATAATTAAAGAGTAAAGTTGTGCTCAACGGTAAGTGTATCACCTCTAAGAAACCCGCCCTGATTTAACCAGGCGGTTATTCACACTCAACTATGGAGTAATTCACCTATTACCGAATAAAATTACTAGCTCAGTGAATCAACATCGGTTTTAAATTAAACTGTGGGTCACAATGGAATTGACAGCAAAGCTTGAGAAGAAATGTTGTTGGCATAGTACTGAAAAATCAGTTGTTAATCTTAGCAAAATAAGGAAAGAGGTCTTTGGTAAGGGAATTGTGGTGGAAGTTACCTGGGCAGAGGTCTGCTTCTGTCTGTGCTGTGTTTATTTGATTGTTTTTATTATATTTTATTACTGTTGGTGGCACATAGGGGAATGTGGCGCAGAGCACCACTCTGGGAGGATGCTTCCCGTGCAGCCAAAGTGATCATGTCCAGGGCTTTCATCTGTAACCACAAAGTGTGTTAGGAAGTCTCACCTAATGATTAAGACCATGGTCCCTGTAACCACACTGCTTTGGTTCAGATCTTGGCTGTAGCACTCAGCCAACCCTGGAAAATAAACCTCTGCCTGTTCTCTCATCTATAAAATGGGGACAAGCACTAATGTCATAGGATTGTTATGGTAGAGTTACATGAGTTTCATGCATATCACAGTTAAACAGCTCCTGATGCATGGCAAGTGCCCAATAAATGTTAGCTATTGTCATGTTAGAGGAAATAGATTTTGTGGCCTGGGACATGTAATGCTGCCTTAGCAGAAATTCAGCTGGTTCATTTAAGCTCTAAATTTATGAGCTTTTTATTGATTAAACCCATCACTGTAGATCCTCTTAGATTCTCTTTTTTGTAGGTCTTGTTTTGTTAGGAAGTACCTGTCACTACTGGTCCACATCTGGATTTACCTGCAGGCTTGTTTGGAATAAAAAATGCCTCCAAATTCCTAGGCAGGACAAACTTGCCCCAAAGCTTTGTTGTTCTACATTATCTCTGTGATTGTACAGGAATCTCTCTTCCCTCCTAGATTATCAGTGTCTTGGATATAATTGGAGCTCAAATGCTTAGGGAATTGATTTAATGTTGCTTAAAACGTATTTGTAGGCCAGGTGTGGTGGCTCACGCCTATAATGCCAGCACTTTAAGAGGCTGGGGCAGGCAGATCACTTGAGGCCAGGAGTTCGAGACCAGCCCTGGCCTCAAGTTGGCCAACATGGCAAAACCCCATCTTTACTAATAATAACAAAAATTAGTCGGGCGTGGTGGCACATGCCTGTAATCCTAGCTACTCAAGTGGCTGAACCCAGGAGGTGGAGGTTGCAGTGACCTGAAGTCACCCCATCGTACTGCAGCCTGGGTAACAGAGCAAGATTCTGTCTTTTTAAAAAAAAAAAAAAAAAAGCATTTGTGAAGGTGAATTTCAAGAATCTAATCAGGCCTCCCTCCCTCCCCCATTAGAGGCACACTCTATTATGTAAAACAGACAGGGAGTGTATTCATTTTGAGATAAGTCCAGGATAACAGTTGACTAACCCTGGCTATAGATACGCAAGTTAAACATTCACTTTGGAAGAAGATTGTGAAGAAAGAATCTTGGACCTTGAGGAATTCTAAATGCTTTGTTGGGTGGCAACTATGCAATACTTACACTATTCCTAATACCTTAAGTGTACTTGTAAGTGAAGAGCAAAGTTGGAGGCTGTTGAGGTAAATAATCTCAAGTGAGATTGGAACTATACATTTTATGCTCCTGGTTTTCATGATCGCAAAGATTTAATGACAGTAACTTAAGATTCTCTTGATGTATCAAATTACAAGGTTTCATTTGTAAATAAGGTGATTAAAATGACAAAGTGTATTAAAAGAAATTGTATTGTCCAGTGAAGTTTTAAGAAACAGAAACCATAAGGTGATTATTATTTTTCAAGCCCCAAAGGAGAATTCATTAGATGACATACTTTTAAAGTTCATGGATCAGGGTCGGGTGCGGTGGCTCATGCCTGTAATCCCAGCACTTTGGGAGGCCAAGGTGGGCAGATCACCTGAGGTCAGGAGTTGGAGACCAGCCTGGCCAACATGGTGAAGCTCCATCTCTACTAAAAGTACAAAAAATTAGCCAGGCGTGGTGGCACATGCCTGAAATCCCGGCTATCCGGGAGGCAGAGGTTGCAGTGAGCTGAGATCGCGCCACTGTACCCTAGCTCGGGTGACAGAGTGAGACTCTGTCTTAGAAAATAAAGTCCATGGGCTGGTCGCAGTGGCTCACGCCTGTAATCCCAGCACTTTGGGAGGCCAAGGCAGGTGGATCATGAGGTCAGGAAATCGAGACCACCCTGGCTAACAGGTGAAACCCCAAAATTAGCCAGGTGTGGTGGCATGCGCCTGTAGTCCCAGCTAACTCAGGAGGCTGAGATAGGAGAATTGCTTGAACCCAGGAGGGGAGGTTGCAGTGAGCTGAGATCACACCACTGCACTCCAGCCTGGACGACAGAGCGAGACTGTCTCAAAAAAAAAAAAAAAAGTTCATGGAGCACAACCTTTGGGTTTTGATGGATCCAGGATCTAAATCCAAAAGAGAGTTTTAAAGATTTGGGACACTGTATCTTTGAGCTCTGCTGTCCTCTGCTTTGGTTTTCAGGCAGACCATCCCTCCACTGGGCAGCCCTGACATCTCCAGATGCAAGCAGCTTCAAGTTGTTCAGAGCATGCCTTTTGTAACTATAGTTAGAGATAAAATTCATAAGCCATTTATTCACTCATTTACACCCAGTGTACAGTTTCAGTGGTTTTTAGTATATTCAGAGTTGTGCACCCATCACCACGTCAATTTAAGAATATTTTATTACCCCCAAAATATCTCCATACTCAATAGTGGTAACTCCCCATTTTCTCCAACGCACCTTTCCCTAGGTAACCATTAATCTACTTCTGTAGGTTTGCATATTCTGAACACTTCATATAATTGAAGTCATAATATTTTTCATCCAGCATGTTTTCAAGGCTCATTTATGTTAACACATGTATGTTACTTCATTCGTTTTTATTACCAGATATTCCGTTGTATGGATATGCCACTTTTGCTTATTCTTCCATCAGTTAACAGACGTTTGACACGTTTTCACTCTTTGACTACTGTGAATAGTGCAGCTATGATCATTCATAGTGTTTATGTAGACGTGTATTTTTATTTCTTTTGGGTAAATACCTAGGAGTGGAATTCCTTGGTTATGATAACTGTTTAACATTTTGAGGAACTGCCAGGCTATTATCCAAAGTAGATTTACCACTTTATTTTTTATTTAACTTTTGTTTTATGTTTGGGGGTACGTGTGTAGGTTTGGGGGTACGTGTATAGGTAAAGTTGTGTCATGGGGGTTTGTGGAACATTATTTAATCACCCAGGTATTAAGCCTAGTACCCAATTAGTTGTTTTTTTTTCAAATCCTCTCCCTCCTCCCACGCTTTGCCTGCTTATAGGCCCCAGTGTGTTGAGCCCCTCTACATGTCCATGTGTTCTCATCATTTAGCTCCCACTTATGTGTGAAAGCATGCAATATTTGGTTTCCTGTGTTAGTTTGCTAAGGATAATGTCCTCTAGCTCCAAGCTCCTGCAAAGGACATGATCTCATTCTTTTTTTATGGCTGCATAGTATTCCCTAGTGTATGTGTACTGTTTTCTTTATGCGGTTTACCGTTGATGGGCATTTAGGTTGATTCTGGGTCTTTGCTATTGTGAATAGACATGCACAATTTTATACAGCAATGTTTGAGAGATGGTTGGTCTACATCCATAGACACTTAACTTTTATAGCCATAGAAGTGAGCCTGAAGTGGTAGCTCATTGTGGTTGTGATTTGCATTTACCTGATGATTAGTCATGTTAAGCATCTTTTTATGTGCATGTTGATTTCTTTGGAGAAGTATCTATTCAAAACTTTTGGCCTTAAATTTGTGTTGTCTTTGGATTGTCAGGTTGTAAGTTTTTAAGATATCCTGGATTCTGATCCTTCCTTACTAGGGACCATAAATGTGAGGGTTTACTCCTGGGTTCTAGGTTCTGTTCCATTGATCAATGCCTGTCCTGTGTCAGTACTATATGGTCTTGTTTATTGTAGTTTTGTCGTTTTGTTTTTTTGTTTTTTGTTTTTAAGACTGAATCTCACTGTGTTGCCCAGAATGGAGTGCGGTGGTGTGATCTTGGCTCACTGTAACCTCCGCTTCCGATTCTTCTGCCTCAGCCTCCAAAGTAGCTAGGATTACAGACACTTGCCACCACACCGCGGTAATTTTTGTATTTTTGGTAGAGGCGAGGTTTCACCATGTTGGCCAGGCTGGTCTCGAACTTCTGACCTCAAGTGATCAGCGTGCCTCTGCCTCCCAAAGTGCTGGAATTACAGGCGTGAGCCACTGCTCCCTGCCGGCTACTCCCTTTTCAACCCCTCCTTTTTCTGTGTCAAAGTTGCTGAGTGGCAGTCAGAAAATGAAAGTACCTCTGATTGGTCCCCTCCCACAACCAATCAGGCTAGTGGCTGGCCACTACTTCATTTACATAACGTGAATCCATGGTAAACCTCTAGAGAGTATTTAAACTGCAGAAAATTATGTAACTTGACTGTCTTGAGCCACTGCTGCCCCCGCTCCCACCCTGTGGAGTGTGCTGTCCTTTAAAATAAGTCTCTGCTTTGGCTGCCTTGCTTGTGTGGTTTGTTCAGTTCTTTGTTCAAGACGCCAAGAACCTGGACAGCTACCCTCAACTGCATGGTTTAGAGGAACTCTTCTGTTCCACTGAAGGCATTTTGTCTATCTCCAGTGGCAGAAAATTGACTCACTCATAATAGGAGCGATGAAGAAGCGATACTTCTGGCCAACATGGTGAAAAGCCATCTCTACTAAAAATACAAAAATTAGCTGGGCGTGGTGGCGTGTGCCTGAAATCCCAGCTGCTGGGGAGGCTGAGGCAGGAGAATCGCTTAAACTCAGGAGGTGGAGGTTGCAGTGAGCCAAGATCACGCCACTGCACTCTAGCCTGGTGACAGAGCGAGACTTCGTCTCAAAAAAAAAAAAAAAAAAGAAGTGATACTTCGAATACAGTTTTTACCTCAACACAGTGTTGTCTTAATATGGTTTGTACCCGCCTGCCACACACTGATGTGTCATGTATACTTGGGGGTGCTTGTCAGCGCTTTTCAGATATTTAAGATCACCAGACCTCTAGTACACGGTGTGTCCAATCTTTTGGCTTCCCTAGGCCACTTTGGAAGAAGAATTGTCTTGGGCCACACATAAAATACACTAACACTAACAATAGCTAATGAGCTTTAAAAAAAATTGCAAAAAAAAAATCTCATAATGTTTTAATCATGCTTATGAATTAGTGTTGGGCCTCATTCAAAGCCGTCTTGGGCTGCATGCTGCCCATGGGCCGCGGATTGGACAAGCTTGATTTAGTAGATGTTTCCTTGAGTTGGGTATCCAGAGGGCTCCGAAATGAATTACTTGGCAGAATTCTCGTAGGGTAACTGGCTTCCGCTTCATGTGTTCTCTGTTGTCTTTAATTCCCATTTTAGGGAATAATACAAATAGAAAACATGGTCTAAAATTTGTCTCTGGCTTCTCTGCTCTGAAGGCACAACAGACTAGTGTCAGTATTCTAGCCTGAATGATGATAGTCTGTTGCATTGGTCTGAACTTCCTGCTGGCCAGTCAAGATGTGTGATTGCCAGCACTTCATGCTGTACCTGTGTTAACGAGTCAGAAAAAGTAGAGCAATTTATTTCTCCCTTTTTTAGGGAGAAAGCCCTGTGGCTCTCACTGGTGAAGCTTGGTAGTTGGGATATATTTAGCTTACTTGGCTCTGCATGGGGAACGTTTGGTATGTCCTCCACAATAGGTGTGATCATCCTGCTGGGAATCACGATTGCAGGCACTTTTTAATCCAGTGTTGCCTAAGACAAAGTACAATGGATTAGGATATCTGATTGGATGGCCTGTGGTTCTGAATAGAGTTTGTAGCTGGATACATGAAAGATGGGAAGGCAGAGTTGTAGGTGAACAGCTTCACCGTGGTGCCCTGATGACTTGCTCTTCTCATAGACCATGGAGGCAAAGCTTAGGCTTAATCACAGGCTGACCCATATTCTGGCAGGACAACCCTGCAGGTCCTCCAAGAACAAAGTGAGAGAAAAGCAGCCCTGTGAGAAACAGTCACAAAGCAGTTTCTCATCTGCCTCCTTGGTTTCAATTGTGCATAGGACTTTACCACCTTGGGGGGTATACTTGCTGGCTATAAAATGGCCACAGTTTGGTGTTCTCATCTGGCTTGGTGTCATCCCGTGGGGCTGGGGATACTGATCTTGATTTTGCTGTTGGACTTAGTAATATATGAATCCATTTGGCCTTTTGCTGACTGCAGTTACAGAAGCATAGAGAACTGTTCTGCCCCTTCTAACCACTGTGCTGCAAGAGGGAGGATTGCGAGTCTTTGTTAATTTGTTGTGATACTTAAATGAGATAAAAGTATATGAAGCATTCCACATAGTTCTTTACATACAGATTTTCAAATGTTAGTTGTTTATAGTAGTACAGATGTACCTCAGCTTACGATGGAGTTACATTTCGATAACCTGTATTAAGTAGAAAATGTAAGTCAAAAATGGGGTTTTATAGACATGATGGGATGGGAAAACACAACATCCAAAAAACTTAGCTAACACAGTACACCATTGATTGGTTTTTTGTTTTTTTTAATGTGCCGTGGGAGGGGCAGCCCTGCACGCCCGCCCACCCCCACCCCCCACAACACCAGCCTGCCTCCGCAGGGGGGATTTTTGTTTTTTTTGTGTGTGTGTGTGTTTTTCATTGATTGTTAATGCTCATGATCACGTGGCTGACTGGGTGCTATGGCTTGCTGCCACCACCCAGCGTGGAAGAATATCATACTGCCTATCACAGGCCCGGGAAAAGATCAAAATTCAAAGTACAATTTCTGCTGAATGCCTGTATCACTTTTGCATCATTGTAAAGTCAAAATTATTAAGTCATACCATTGTATTGTGGTCCAGGACCATCTGGGCTTAGAAAAATGGATTCTAGAAAGCCTATTTAAGGACTGATAGGCTAATTTTTTCTGTGACTAAGGTGACAGAAAGCCAGAGCTAGTACAGGTTGAATAAATTGTGTTACATTTGGAATTCCTGAAAAGTGGCTTTTTACACTGAATTGTTAGTATTGGTGGTTTGTTAACTTTCTACAGGTATCTCTAATTTTTCGAATGCTTATGTTGCAAGTCAGGTTTTCAATGAAAAATAGACTTTACTCAGTTTAACCATATCAGTGGATACTCTTCAAATAAACTTTCCTTTGTGGAACATAAGAAGTGGAACTTAAAAAGCCATAAGGGAAGTTTTCAATTTAAAATACCAGAGCGAATTTATATATTTTAGGTATAAGAATAGTATTTTAATGTATATTATTTATTTCTTAAGTCCTACGTCTTTTAGGTACTGAAATGCTTACAGATGAAATCATGCTATGTCTGTGGTTGGCATAGATAGAAAAGGAAACAGAAGTGGTCAGGACTTTTTCCCATCTATAAGTTTACATTAGGACTTCTCTTTTTTTTTTTTTTTTGAGACGGAGTCTCACTCTTTCGCCCAAGCTGGACTGCAGTGGCGCTATCCCGGCTCACTGCAAGCTCCGCCTCTTGGGTTCATGCCATTCTCCTGCCTCAGCCTCCCGAGTAGCTGGGATTACAGGCGCCCACCACCATGCCCGGCTAATTTTTTGTATTTTTAGTAGAGACGGGGTTTCACCGTGTTAGCCAGGATGGTCTCGATCTCCTGACCTCGTGATCCGCCCGCCTCTGCCTCCCAAAGTGCTGGGATTACAGGCGTGAGCCACCGCGCCCGGCCTAGGACTTCTCTTTAATGGGGTGTTCAGATAATGTTTGTTTATTCAGCAAATACTGAAACCTGCTAGACATTATCTACATGCATGTGTCTTTTGGGTTGGCCTGAAAGACTTTTATGCCTGTCGTATTGGCTGTTAATAGTACTTTGATTCACTCTGATGATGTTCCACTTACCTTTAATAAATTGTCAACCCACTTTTCTTTCCCTTTTTTGAGACAGATCTTGCTGTGTCATCCAGGCTGGAGTACAGTGGCACTACCATAGTCCACTGCACTCTCGACTTCCCATGCTCAAGTGATCCTTCCATCTCAGCCTCCCAAGTAGCTGGGAATATAGGCGTGTACCACCACGCCTAGCTAGTGTTTCTATTTTTATTTTTATTTTTTTGTAGAGACTGGGTCTTACTGTGTTGCCCATGCTGGTTTTGAACTGCTGGACTCTGCCTCAGCCTCTCAGCATGCTGAGATTATAGGTGTGAGCCACCACACCTGGCCAGTGGTAACCCCTGTGTATAAAACAATTCTTAGGCTGGGATGGCTTGAGCCTCAGGAGTTCAAGACCAGCCTAGGCAACATGGAGAAACCTCATCTCTACAAAACATTAAAAAAATTAGCCACACGGTGGCATTCACCTGTAGTCCCAGCTGCTTGGGAAGCTGTGGTGAGAGAATTGCTTGAGCCCAGGAGGTGGAGTTGGCAGTGAGCTGAGATCGTGCCACTACACTCTAGCCTGGATGACATAGTGAGACCCTGTCTCAAAAAAAATAAACCAAAATTCTTGCTGTGGCTCAGTTTATACTTCCATATTCTATTTCTTGCTGTTTTATCTGACCTACAGCAGACCTGGCCACCATGCCATATTCACAATATTAGGTTCATTTTCTGGTTTGTTTGGTTTTCTTTTGTTTTTGAGACGGAGTCTTGCTCTGTCGCACAGTCTGGAGTGCAGTGGCATGATTCCCGCTCACCACTGCCTCAACCCCCTGGGTTCATCCAATGCCTCAGCCCCCCAAGTAGCTGAGAATACAGGTGTGTGCTACCACAATGCTGCCCAGGTTAGTCTCGAACTTCTGAGCTCAAGTGATCTGCCTGCCTTGGCCTCCCAAAGTTCTGGGATTACAGGTGTGAGCCACTGTGCCCAGCCTAGGTCTATTTTCTTATACTTCTTTCTATTCATGTGTATGTGTGCTTGTGCATGTGTGTTTAACATGGATAGTAATATGGTTATTTCCTATAGGTATAATTTTAGATTATTTTTTGCTTTATAATTTTCTGTAGTAAGCCCAATTTACAAATAAAGGAAGCTGCTGGGTTGACAACTTTTCAGTTATTTGCATTGTGTGGATATAGAATATTTTTTAAATTTCACAGATATTGTTAATCTTAGTGAGATCTTTAATATGAAAGTCCACATCCATAATTATCTTTATGCTTTCTTGCAGCTGTTTACTTCTAATTATTTCCTGATTCACAAATTAATTTTTGCAATTCACAACTTCAAGAATACTTGGACTATTGGATTCAATCCATAGTAATCTGCAAAAGAAGAGAAGCAGAATTATACCTAGAAGTCTACTAATGGACAGTTAGTCACCCACCTACATGTTGAGGTACTCTGGACCTTTTTCTTTCACCTCACTGGAAGGGAATGTGGGTGGGAATTTAAGACATCTACTTCCTTGTTGATTTTCCACCTATTTGTTCTATTCATTGTTGAAAGTAGGGAATTGAAGTCTTCCACTCTTATTGGTGAATTGTGGTTTTTGCTTCTTGTATTTTGATGCTCTTTTAGGTATTAATAACCTACAGATCACATTTGACAGTTTTAAGTAAACAAGCTTCCAGATTAACTTGCTTTGGGGAGGTATTGTGATACAAGATGGTGACATCCTGTCCTTGAGTAAAGAATCTTACACATTCCTCAAATGGGTATACTGATTAATGCATAACCTAACACTCAAAAGGGTGCTGCTTTATTTGTAAATCAGGTTTTATTGATGCAAGTTTTCTTGCACTTAGACATTTTAGCCTATATGTTGCAATCAGTAGCCAATGATTATAACCTCAGTATTGTATCCTCCAACGAAAAAAGACAATTTGAGTATTAGGAGTCCCCCTCCCTTCTCCTATAATTTCATATAAAAGCCT